>NC_000023.11:86704966-87007996 GCF_000001405.40 Homo sapiens
AATTGCAAAAATATGGAACCAGCCCAAATACTCATCAATCAACAAGTGGATACAGAAATTGTTATATATATATATATATCTCACATATATATATATATATCTCACATATATATGTGAGATATATATAATGGAATACTACTCAGCCATATAAAGGAACAAATTAATTGCATCCACAGCAGCCTAGATGGAACTGGAGATTATTCTTCTAAGTGAAGTAACTCAGGAATGGAAAACCAAACATAGTGTGTTCCCACTCATAAGCGAGAGGTAAGCTATGAGGATGCAAAGGCATAAGAATGATACAGTGGACTTTGGGGACTCCGGAAAATTTGGGAGGTGGGAGAGGGATAAAAGACTATAAAATGGGTTCAGTGCATACTTCTTGGATGATGGGTGCAACAAAATCTCAGAAATTACCAAAAAAGAACTTAATCATGTAACCAAATGCCACCTGTTGTCCAAAAACTCATGGAAACAAGAAATAAGAAAAAAGATATACAAATGACCAAGAGCATATGAGAAAATGCTCAACATCACTAATCAATAGGGAAATGCAAATTAAAACCACAACGAGATGGTACCTTACCCCAGCCAGAATGGATATTATTAAAATTTTTAAAAAATATAGATGCTGGCCTGGGTGTAATGAAAGAGGAATGCTTATACACTGCTGATGGGAATGTAATTTAGTACAGCCTCTATGGAAAACAATATGGAGATTTCTCAAAGAACTAAAAGTAGATCTACCATTCAATCCAGCAATCCCTCTACTGTGTATCTATCCAAAGGAAAAGAAGTCATTATATCAGAAAGACACCTGCGCTTGTATGCTTACCACAGCACAATTCACAATTGCAAACATATGGAATCGACCTAAGTGTTCATCAACTGATGAGTAGATAAAGATAACGTGTTATATGTATACACCATGGAATACTACTCAGCCACAAAAAGAATAAATTAATATCTTTTGCAGTCACTTGGATGGAGCTGAAGGCCATCATTCTAAGTGAAGTAACTCAGGAATGGAAAACCAAGTATTGTATATTCTCACTTAAAAGTGGGATTTAAGCTATGTGTATGAAAAGAAATACAGAGTGGTATAATGGACATTGTAGAATCAGAAGGGAGGAGTGTGGCGGGGTGGGTGAGGGACAAAAAAACTACATTATGGGTACAGTGTACACTTCTCAGGTGACAGGTGCACTAAAATCTGAGATTTCACACTATACAATTCATCCATGTAACCAAAAGTTACTTGTACTCTCGAAGCTATTAAAATACGAAAAATAACAAGAAAAAGTAATTTTAAAAAGAATGTATTGGATGATTATACCTTGTGGATAAGTGAAATAAATGAGAGCAATGTTATAAAGGACTGAAAGGAGGAATTGAGAATTGAGAATACTCTGTTATAAGGTATTTTTAGTACCCTTAAAGTAGTATAGTGGTATTTGTAAATGGAATAAGACTAATTGTAAATATATATTGAAAGCTGTAAGGCAAACACTAAAAAACATTAAGAGTTTTAATAGTTTAATTTTTAAAATATTAAAAATTTTAATTAAAATTTTAAATTCTTCTTAAATTCATGTGGAACATTCACCAAGATAGGACACATTCTGGGCCATAAAATACACTTTAACACATTTAAAAGAATAGAAATCAGACAAAGTATGCTCTCAGTCATAATGGAATTAAACGAGAAGCCAATAACAGAAAGACAGCTGTAAAGTCAAAAAATACTTGGAGATTAAACAGTACACTTATAAATACCACACAAGTCAAAAAAGAACCCCCAAGAAAAATTCAAAAGTATTTTAAAGTAAATGACAATAAAAATATAATTTATCAAATTTCATAGGATGTAACAAAAGCAGTGCTTAGAGGGAAATATATAGCATTGAATTAATTAATATATTAAAAAGGATAAAGAGATAAAATCAGTAACCAAAGCTTCCACCTTAGGAAAATAAAAAGATAAAAAATTAAATCTAAAGCAGAAGAAAATATATAATAATTATTAGTATAGAAATGAATGAAATTGGAAACAGAAAATCAACAGAGAAAATCAATGAAACCAAAAGCTGGTTCATTGACAAGACAAATGAAATTCATAAACCCCTAGGCAGGCTAACTAAGAAAAAGAGAGAAGATGCAAATTACTATCATCAGAAAATAGAAGCCATCACTATTTATCCTATGACATTAAAATGATAATATAGCAATACTCAACAACTCTATACCCACAAATTTGATAACTTGGATGAAATTACTCAATTTTTTGAAAGATACAATCTACCAATACTCACACAAGAAGAAACAGATAATCTGAAAAGGCCTATACATATTACAGAAATAAAATCTATAATTAAAACCCTTCCACAACAGAAAGCACCATGTTCAAATGGGTTCACAGGTAAAGTCTACCAAACATTTAAAGAAGAAAATATACCAATTCTCTGCAATCTCTTCCAGAAGATAGAAGCAGAGGGAATACTTTCTAACTCATTCTATGAGATCAGAATTACCTAAATACCAAAATACCAGAGAAAGATAACATAGGAAAGGGAAACTACAGATCAGTATCTCTGATGAACATAATGCAAAAATCCTGAAAACAGAATAGTACATTAAAGTTAACAATGTTTAGGAAAAATTACACACCGCCCAGGCGCGGTGGCCCACGCCTGTAATCCCAGCATTTTGAGAGGCTGAGGCCGGTGGATCACGAGGTGAAGAGATCGAGACCATCCTGGCCAACATGCTGAAACCCCGTCTCTACTAAAAGTACAAAAATTAGCTGTGTGTGGTGGCGTGCGCCTGTAGTCTCAGCTACTTGGGAGGCTGAAGCAGGAGAATCGCTTGAACCAGGGAGGTGGAGGTTGCAGTGAGCCGAGATCACACCACTGTATTCCAGCCTGGTGACAGAGTAAGACTCCATCTAAAAAAAAAAAAAAAAAATTACACACCATGACCAAGTGGAATTTATTCCAAGTATGCAACGGTAGCTCAACATTGGAAAATCAATTGATGTAATCTATTACATCAGTAGGCTAGAGAATAAAAATAATATGATACTAAAAGTAGATGCAGAAAAAGTTTTTGAGAAAATACAATACCCATTCATAATAAAAACTCTTAGAAAAAAATAGGAAAAGAGGGGGACTGCCTCAACTTGTTAAAGAACATCTATAAAAACCTACTGCTGACATCTTACTCAATGGTGAAAAACTAGATGCTTTTCCCCTAAGATCGAAAACAAGGGAAGGACGTTACCTCTTATCACTTCTATTCATCGTTATACTGGAGGCCTTAGTTGGTAAAAAATGACAAGAAAAATGAAATAAAATTTATACCAATTAGGGAAGAAAAAACTGTATTGGTTCAAAGATGACTGATTATCTTTGTAAAATTTCAAAAGATTTTACAAAAAATTCTCATAGAACTAATAAGAGATTATAGTAAGGTTGCAGGATACAAAATTAATGTACAAAATCAACTGCTTTCTTGTATACCAACAATGAACAGTTGCAATTTGAAATTAAAAATTCATCTTAAGTGAAACAACTCTGAAACAGAAAGTCAAAAACTTATAAGTGGGAACTAAATCATATGTACACATGGACATAGTGTAGAATAATAGACATTGGAGATTTGGAAGGGTGGGAGGGTGGGAAGGGAGTGGGGGAGGAGGAAGTACTTAATGGGTACAGAGCACATTGTTTGGGTGATGATTACACTAAAAACCTAGATTTCACCACTACACAATATATCCATGTAACAAAACTGCACTTCTACCTCTTAAATTTGTACAAATAAAAACACAAAATTGTTTAAATTAGCAACAATAATTGAAATACTCAGGAGTAAACATAGCAAAATATATATAAGATGATTAGAAGGACTACTGCAGAACTCTGATGAAAAAATCCAGGAATATATAAATAAATGGAGAGATATCTTACGTTCATGGATAGGAAGACTCAATATGATTAGAACAGCAATTCTTCCCACTTGATCTATAGATTCAATATATTCCCCATCAAAATCCAAGGAAGTTGTTTTGTGGATACTCACATAGTGATTCCAACATTTATATGGAAAGTAAAAGACCCACAATAGCCAGCAAAGTATTGAACAAGAAAAAATGTAGTGGACTGACACTACCATACTTCATTATTTACTGTAAAGTTATAGTAATCATGGTAGTGTGATTTTGGCAAAAGAACTGACAAGTAGATTAGTATTAATAGAACAGAATAGAGAGCCTAGAAATAGATCCACACAAATGTAGTCAATTGGTATTTGATGGAAGAGCAAAGACAATTCAATAGAAAGATCATAGCATTTTTCTACAAATTACAGTGGAACAATTGGGATATCACATGCAAAGAATGAACCTAGACACAGACCATCTGCCCTTCACAAAAATTAACTCAAAAGGATCATAGTCCTAAATGTAAATTGCAAAACTCTGAATCTATTAGAAGATAACATCAGAGAAAAGCTAGGTGATCTTGGGTTTGACAATGTGGTTTTAGATACAATATCAAAAGCATAAACCTTAAAATAAACTAATAAGTTGGATTTCATTAAACTTAAAAACCGTTCATGACACACACTGTTAAGAGAATGAAAAAACAAACAACAGAGTAGGAAAAAGTCTTTGCACAACTCATATATGATAAAGGACCAATAGATATACAAAGAACTTTTAATCTCAACAATAAGAAATAAGCAACCAAATTAAAAAGTGGACAAAAGTCGTAAACAGACATCTCATTAATTAAGGCATAGTTGGATAATAAGCATATGAAAACATGTTGAATATAATATGTCACTAGGGAATTGCAAATTAAAACAACTAGGAGATACCCATACACACCTGTTGAAATAACTAAAATCCAAAATTGTCAACTTCAATTGTTCACAAAGATTTGGAACAACAGGAACTTTCAGTTTGGTTTTAATGGAAATGCAAAATACTATAGTGACTTTGGAAGACATTTTGGGCATTTTTTTAACTAAAGTAAACATAGTCCTGTATTTATACAAATCAATGGAGAACTTAAGTTCACACAAAAACCTATACACCAAAGTTTATAGTAACTTTGTTCATAATTACTAAAAATTAGAAACAACCAAGATATCCTTTAATAGATGAATGCATAAAACAACTGTGGTATATATGTACTATGGAAACATATTTAGCAATAAATACAAATGAGCTATCAAACCTTGAAAAGACTTGGGTGAACCTTAAGCGGAAATTGCTAAGTGAAACAAATCAGTCTGAAAAGGCTAAATAGTGTGTGATTCTAACTAGGTAGCATTCAGGTAAAGGCAAATCTATACAGCCTAAAAAGACCAGTGGTTGCCAGAGGATGGGGAGAGGGATAAAACAAGTGACCTCTGCTGTAAACTGTGGACTGTGGTTAATACATCAATATTGATTTTTCAAATGTAGATATATAACAGATTATTACAAGATAGTAATATGAGGGCCAACTGTGTGATGGCAGAGTGGAGATATAAGGAAATTCTCTGTAACTTCTGCTAATGTGTTTTATTAATCTAAGACTGCTCTAAAACTAGTCTATTTATTTTTTTAAAGGAAGGGGTATTTATATAGGCAAATCAATTGGGTTAGGAAGGCAGATTCCAGAGAGAAGCATTAACATGAGTGAAGGCTAACGTGAATTCAAACTGTAGATGTAAATAGTCCAGTGGGGCTAGAGTACAGCATACAGAGAGGAATATAATGAAACATTACAACCAGAAAGGTAATTTTGGATGAAATAAAAATGCTTGTATTTTATTCTGGTAGCAGTAAGTAGTCACTGGAAGTCTTAAAAAGGGAGTGGAAAAGCAAATGAAAAGCCACAGTAAGACAGATTGGGAAGATAGGGTACTTGTATCAAGGGATTAATGCCTGGTAGTCACTGTAGAAATGACAAAATATTACAGAAGTCAACGTGACTTAGAAATCAAATCAATGTGGGATTTAGATAGAGGATTACTAAAGTTTGTACCTTTCATGGCTAGAAGGAGGTGGTGCTATGCACTTACATAAAAATTATAGGAGTTGCTGAAATACCAAGATGCATTAGAAATTATTCTTACAGGCCCAGCTCTGTGGCTCACGCCTGTAATCCCAGGACTTTGGGAGACCGAGGCAGGCAGATCACTTGAGGTCAGGAGTTCGAGACCAGCTTGGCCAACATGGTGAAACTCCATCTGTACTAAAAATAAAAAAAATTAGCTGGGCATGGTGGCACATGCCTGTAATGCCAGCTACTCGGGAGGGTGAGGCAGGAGAATCGCTTGAGCCCGGGAGGCGGAGGTTGCGTGAGCCGAGATCTCTCCACTGCACTTCAGCCTGGATGACAGAGTGAGACTCCGTCTCATTAAAAAAATAAATAAATAAAAAATAAAAAAGTAAATTAAATTAAAAAAAGAATTATTCTTTTAGTAACTTGCATAATGTCCGCGAAGTCAATAGGAAAAGAGATAACCCATTTTGGTGATTTTTAAAAAAGATTTGTCTTTATTACCATGCTATTAAAAGGCTACCTGTATATCTAGCATGTGACTAAGTGAGCCAGGTTGCGGGTGTGGTGTGTACTACTGATGGTTTTTAATTTTATGTGTTCAGTTTCAGAAAACGTTTGACTTTCATAATTCAGTATTTGCGTATGCTTTGCATGGAGAACTCATGTGTGGTCACTGTTAAACTGGCCTGTTATGTAAGTACTAGCTTGGGGTAAAGTCTAGGGCATTACGGTCAATTGACAGCTATTGCAGGTCATGATTTCAAAGTATGAGTTTTAAGCCTTTCATGGTCATTTGAAATGTTTGATGAATTAGATTTTAAAACTGCCAATGGGCTGTTAAATTCTTTTTGTAGTTTGCATTTAGTTTGCATGTCAATTGGACTTTAAGTAGGCATATTTCTTATTATCGCCAGATGGTGTCTAGGTGATGCTGAAAATCTTTGGAGAATGAGGAAAGATTATTACACTGTTAAGGGAACTGTAAATTGAACAAAAGCTTATTTAAGCATTTGAATAGTAAATAGGAGCACTGATGGCTACTTTTCATCTAAGTTTGATCAATTTGTGACTGAAGCAGTGTAAACAAAGAAGGACTGAAGTGTATAATTACCTTGGGCTTGTGGTAAATGATAGCCTTATATAGAAACCTACTTAGGTCATTGATTGTCGTTATTATATTGAGCATAATGTGAAGGTTTCAGGAGAAAGATAAACAGTGATTAGTTTAATATATATTATAAAATATCATTATAGCATAAGCTATATGATAATTTCAGTATAAAAGTGCATATGTACCTAAGTAATTTTAGAAGGCTAACTGAAAATATGCTTCTAGTTTTAAAGGAAGTGAGTTCCACATACAAATGAGATTGTACAGCATTTGTCTTTCTGTGCCTGGCTTATTTTGCTTAGCATAATGTTCTCCAGAATGACAAGTGTTTGAGGTAATGGATATATTAATTAGCTTTATTTAATTATCCCACGTTGTGTGTATATATATATGTGTGTATATATGTGTGTGTACACATATATAATATATAATGGGATCATTTTGTATTCCATAAGTATATACAATTGTAATTTGTCAATTTACAATAAAAATTGTAACTATTAAAAGTAAAAATAACCAAAAGTGAGTGGAAAAGGCCATTTTGAATTCAATGTTGTAAGAGTTGTTTTGAGGCCTCATTGATAAATTAATAATTGCAAGAAAAATGTTTCAGAGCTCATAAGTTTAGTTTGGAAAGTTGTTCCTAAAAAGGATTTACAGATAGTGAGCCATAAGTGAACACGGATAGGAGAAAAGTTTAAAATATTTTCTGACTCCAGGATATGGAGTCAGATAGGGAGTACAGAGAATGTTTCCTTTCCTGAGTTCCACGCAGAATTTAAGTTTCTAGGTTAGGTTTTATCCTTATGTAATTCTGATAACACTGCATTTTGTGACTATCTTTATCAGAAACACTGGTGGATAATGTTTTCTTTATTTAGGAATTCCTTTCATTGTGATAATCACTTGAGTGTTGTATGAGACCTTACCTACCTGGAAATGTAATCCATTGATTGTGCTGCCTTTGTACTTTCTTGTTAACAGTTTTAGATCAACCATTATAATTGAAATCAGGAGACGGACCTCAAATAAATTAACACTGCTTCTTCCTTCTAGCTCCCATTAAAATTGGACTTTATTAAAATTAAAAACTACTCTGTGAAACACATTAAGAAAATGAAAAGAAGCCATAGAATGCGAGAAAATCTTTGTCCTAAAAATATATGTGTTTTGAGTGTTTGTATTACTGCCACTTTGTTTTGAGGAATGAGATTTAGGGAGCTTTTTAATATACTTCCTATAGATTCACTGATGTTCTTTTTCTGTTGTGATAAGGGAAACAAGGAAAAGTGAAGCGATTACCAAGAGTAAAAAAGGACGTTATTAATACTTAATACTTGTGCGCAGAATCAACATAAATGCTGTCCACCATAGAATTTCTGTAGTCTGTGATAATTTAGAAAAATTATAAGCAGGGATATTTTAGAATATCTATTAAAGACTACTGATTTCTGGGCTTCTGTCCAAAATTAGGCAAGATTACTGTAGAGGTAATTGTTTGTAATAAGTGCTACGGTTTGCTCACAGTCACGTTCACATCCATGAAGCTAGACTAAATTTTAGTAGACTCTGCTCAAACTCCTTTCCTCCTACAAATTTCAGCCTATTAAGGGATAAGTAGACAACGATTTTAATGTTACCTTTTACATGATGGCAAACCTGTGGCTGCCAGAAGTTGAATGTGGATAATAATTGAGATATATTCTTTCAGATATTTCAAATGTGTGAAAATTATTTCAACTTGCATAAGAAAAAAATGAAATTCCTGAAATGACCTAACAATATTTGTTATTAAGTATTTCTTATTAAACTAGAAAATACGTTGATATTTTGATAGGGGAGTTATTATTTATTGACAAAGACTTTAAATTAAAGCTATTAATATAAGCATTCATTTTAGAGATTTATATCTAAAAGGGTATAACATACTCCAAGTCTTGTTTTCTTCTACAGTTCTGAAGCTTAGAGAATCTACATCCTGCCTTATCAGCACCTCTATTAAGTGTCTTAAAGAAATTGTAAAGCTGTCAACTATCAACACATCAATGCATTATTGTTATGATGTTACAAAATGGTTATAATGATTAAGAAGAAAGTTCTTAGTTTTGAAATGCAATGATGTTTGGCTTAAAGATTTGTGTTTGTTTTATGGGTAAAAATTTTGCATCTTATAAATATTTGGGAAGTGAAAGCAAAAACAAAGCATATTTATAATTAAATGTGTGGATACAGGAAGATTTTTAAAATGATTAAACAATATAAAATAACACAGGTACTATTAATGGCACAAGGAGACACTAAGATATAATAAAAATTGTTTTTATAAGAAAACTAAGAATGAATTTAGGTACTTTTTAACAAACTATTTCAGATAATCATAATGTAACAAGTTTAATATGCACTGTCTCTTTTAGGACTGGATCTGCCATTTATGATGATGCCTCATCCCCTACTTCCAGTCAGCTTACCTCCTGCATCAGTTGCCATGGCAATGAATCAGATGAACCATCTCAATACTATTGCCAACATGGCTGCTGCAGCACAGATTCACAGTCCACTCTCCAGAGCTGGTACCTCTGTTATAAAGGTAAGAATCGTGATTTAGAAAAGGACAAAGGTGTCAATTTCATGCAAATTTTGATAAAATATTTACAATCCCACTGGATCTTCAGTAGTAACTCAGCTCATTGACTCAGTTAGTTAGCATACAGTATTGATGGGTTTAGTTTGTGACTAGGCCTGCCAGGTTTGTTGTTGTTTGTTTGTTTTCATTCTATGACCACAGATCTCACTTTTAATTCTATTTCCTGTCTTGCAATCATGTGCACAGTGTGGGGGAGGCATGGGCAGACTAATGACAGAGTAGAAGAGTGTGCAAAAACCATTCCCATAGCTGGGGTGAAACAAAGTAAACACTGTGCATCTTTTTGGAGTTTGAGAGACAGTTATGAGGTATGATATAACATACAGGACTTATAGTCAGACAGATTTGGGTTCCAATTCTGATTTGCAACTTAGCTGAATGAACTTGGGTATGACAGCCCTCCTGAACATGTTTCCTCAACTATAAAATGAAGGTCATAGTTAATAATCTATGCTGCTTATTTCATGGGCTGTCTGGAGATAATATGAGTAAAATATATGTAAAAACCTGTAAAACATTAACAATATTTATGATAATATATTGCATTAACATTATAATGTTAGAATACTATTTTTCAAGTTTATGGGCATTGGATAATGAAACACAAAGGATATTTCGTAGCTACCCCTTCTTTTTCCTCTTAGTTTGGCATATGGCTTTTCTGCTCTCTTTCCAATTATCATATGAACTAGGGTTTTGAATGCTTTTTCTTCTTGTGAGGAGGTGATATATGGGTACATAGGATCCCAAGATTTTAGTCAGAAACCCATTGATTTCCTCCTTTATTCCTTCACTTACTCAACAAATATTATACCCTTAATAATTACATGCCAGGTTATTGAGCAATATGGGAAATTTATAAGTAAGATATACACCTTGACTTCCAGGAGCTCCCAAACATAAATGTGAGACAAACAAGTACCCACTTAATTTGTACTAACAAGACAGACTATGATGGATAACATAGGAGAACCACCAAGTATTACAGGAATTTAGAGGAAGGAGTGATTTTATCTACCTTTAAGAAGAGAGGAGGCAGGGATCTGGGAAGGCATTATAGTTGATGGATTTCAACTGAGCCTTGCAATATTGATATGATTGTAATAGATAGGCATGGAAGTGAAAGAACTGAAGGCAGAGGAAATGTGACATTTTGGACATATTTGTTTCATTTTAAAATCAGCTTGTAATTTTGGAGCCTTCTAAAGCACTGAAGAAAATTTAAAGCATAACCTTTGTAAGAAAGGAACAGAAAAATTGATCATTTTTATAAAGCTTCATCTATATATTTAAAACACCAAGTGGAAGCATGCTTCCTGGAAAGACTGGTTACAGACTTCACCGCTACACAAATTCCCTGGCAACAAAACTGCACTTGTATCCCTGAATCAATAAAAAAAATTAAAGGGTAAAAATAAAGCCTGTGGTTGATAATGGATTAGTCTATCCTAACTAATGAGAGCTCTGTTATTAAAATATTTGATGGGAGTGTAAACTTGGAGTTAGAGTTGTCTTTGAGAAGAAAATTACCCATGAAATGTGGGATAAATTTCCCATTATTTTGAAACTGGATGGCTATTAAGAAAATATGACAACACAAACAAATTGTGAAATTATATTAAAAAGCAAACCTGGGAGCAGTGGCAGTGACATGTGCCTGTAGTCCCAGCTGCTTAGGCGCCTAAGGAGAGGAAGATCACTTGAAACCAGGGGTTCAAGATCAGCCTGAGCAACATTGTGAGACTCCTTCTCTAAAACAAACAGACAAACAAAAGCACTTCAAAGTAATGGTATTGTTATACTGGCTTTGGAATGATGGAAGAGTACTCTTAATAGAGGCATGCATATGACTCTTAAAAGTACATTGGTTTGTTTTCATAAATACCATATTTAATTAGCTATATTTTGTTTGAATGTTTGAGACTTCAGTTAGCTTTGTGAATAATTTGAGTCAAGAGGCACATGGAAATGTGGTTCATAATTGTGGTCCTGGAAATGGAAAAGATAATTATCTTCTTAATCCAAATATTGTTTTATTTTTTACCCATTATGACAATATAACTGAAATTTTGTTTAGGGCTTATTAGTCTATTTCATATGCAACCTTTTAAAAAAGAAACTTGGAATTGTCACAAACAATTTTATACAACTTTTTAAAAGGCGAAATTAGATCACATGCTTATTTATGTCCTGCCAAATACACAAATACACAGAAACCATTTTATGCTAAAGAGAAATGGATCTACTTTCATGTGGTTATTTTGACTAAAGTAAGTTAAGAGAGATATATTTAATTAAAACACTCTGATAAAAATTTCTATTTCTCTACAAATCTATCAGAAATATATTTTGTCATATGCATAGATTGCATGGTGGTGGAAAAAGGGCTTTTTGGGTATCCATTATCCAAATAATGTACATTGTACCCAGTGAGTAATCTCTCATCATGCACCCTATTCCATCCCCTCACCTTTCCATTGTTTATCATTCCACACTTTACACTCCTGTGTACACATTATTTAGTTCCCACTTATAAGTGAGAACATATGGTATTTGTCTTTCTGTGCCTGACTTGTTATGCTTAAGATAATGGCCTCCATTTTCATCCATATTGCTGCAAAAGACAGATTTCATTCTTTCTTATGGCTAAATAGTATTCCATTTACATATATAGATATATAGTATTCATATACACATGTATGTATATGTAGATAGATAGATAGGAACTTGATAATGAGTTAGTCTATCCTAACTAATGAGAGGTCTGTTATTAAAATATTTGACTGGAGTGTAAACTTGGACATAGAATTGTCTTTGAGAAGAAAATTACCCATGAAATGTAGGATAAATTTCCCATGATTTTGAAACTGGATGGCTATTAAGAAAATATGACAACACAAACAAATGATGAAATTATATTAAAAAGCAAACCTGGGAGCAGTGGCGGTGACATGTGCCTTATTATATATAATATATATATATATATACATATATATGAATACTATTTGGAATATATATATATAATGGAATACTATGATCCTAAAAAAGTGCAAGATATATATTTTTATATATATTCATATATATGCATATGTATATATATATCTTGCAGTTTTTCTTTATCATATCATCTGTTGATGGACACATAGGTTGATCGTATATCATTGCTGTTGTGAATAGTACTGCAATAAACATATGAGTACAGATATCTTTTTGATATAGTGAGTTATTTTCCTTTGGGTAGATACTCAATAGTGGGATTGTTGGATTGAGTGGTAGTTCTATTTATAGTTCTTTGAGAAATCTCCATACTGTCATAGTGAATGCACTAATTTACATTTTTACCAACAGTGCATAAGCATTATGTTTTCTCCTCACAAACACTTGTTATTTTTTCTTTTGAAAAATAGCCATTCCGACTCATGTAAAATGATATCCCATTGTGGTTTTAATTTGCGTTTCTCTGATAATTAGTGATGTTGAGCATTTTCATGTGCCTGTTAGCCATTTGTATGTTTATCCATGTCCTTTGCCCACTTTGTACTGGGATTATTTTGAGTTTTCTTTTTGAGTTGTTTGAGTTCCTTCTAAATTCTGATTACTAATCCCCTGTCACATGCATTATTTGCAAATATTATCTCCCATTCTATAGGTTGCCTGTTCAATCTTGATTATTTCTTTTGCTGTGCAAAAGATTTTTAGTTTAATTAAGTCCCATTTGTCTATTTTTGTTTTTGCTGCCTGTGCTTTTTACATCTTATTCATAAATACTTTGCCTAGACCAATGTCCAGGAGAATTTTCCTTAGGTATTTTTATAGTATTTTTATAATTTCATGTCTTGCATTTAAGGGTTTAATCCATGTTGAGTTGATTTTTGAATATGCTGAAAGATAAGGGTCCAATTTCATTCTTCTGTGTATGGCAATCAAAGTTTCCCAGCACCATTTGTTGAAAAGGGTGTCATTTCCCCAGTATATGTTCCTGTTGATTTTGTCACAAAAGAGCTGGCTCTGAGTGCATGGCTTTATTTCTGTGTTCCCTGTTTTGTTCCCTTGATCTATGTGTCTATTTTTATATCAGTACCATGCTGCTTTGGTTACTGTAGCCTTACAGTATAATTTGAAGTCAGGTAATGAGATGCCTCCAGCCTTATTCTTTTTGCTTAGTATTTATTTGGTTATTTGTGCTCTTTTTTAGTTCCATATGATTTTGAGGATAGTATTTTCTATTTCTGTGAAAAATGAATTTTTTTATGGATTGCGTTAAATCTGTAGATTGCTTTGCACAGTATGGTCATTTTAATAATGTTAGTTTTTTCTAATCCAAGAGCAAGGGATATTTTTCCATTTGTTTTTGACATCTACAATTACTTTCACCAGTGTTTTGTAGTTTTCCTTGTAGATATCTTTTACCTCTTTGGCTAAAATTATTCTTAGTTTATTTTTCACTAGCTGTTGTAAATGGGATTGTTGTCTTTATTTGTTTATCTGCTGGATCATTATTGGTATGTATAAATGCTACCAATTTTTTGTAAAGGGATCTTCAAACTTTACTAAACTAATTTCTCAAATTCAAAAGATATTTGGTGGAGACTGAGGTTTTCTAGATGTAGGTCATATCATCAGTGAACTGGGAAAATTTGACTTCCCCTTTTCAATTTGGATGCCTTTTATTTCTTTCTTTTGCATGATTGCTCTGGCTGGGTGTATTAGTTCATTCTCAAGCTGCTATGAAGAAATACCTGAGACTGGGTAATTTATTAAAAAAAGATGTTTAATTGACTCACAGTTCCACATGGCTGGGGATACCTCAGGAAACTTACAACCATGGCAGGAGGCAACTGTTCACAGGGCAGCAGGAGAGAGAATGACCGCCAACAGGGGAAATGCCAGACATTTATAAAAACCATCAGATCTCATGAGACTCACTCTTTCACAATAACAGCATGGAGGAAACCACTCCCATGATTCAATTACCTCTACCTGGTCTTTTCCTTGACATGTGGGGATTATAACAATTCAAGGTGAGATTTGGGTGGGGACACAGAGGCAAACCATATCATTTCACCACTGCCCCTCCAAAATCTCATGTCCTCACATTTCCAAACACAATCATACCCTTTCAATAGTCCCTCCAAATCTTTTTTTTTCTTTTTTCTTTTTTTTTTCTTTTTTTTTTTTTTAGATGGAGTCTCTCTCTGTCGCCCAGCCTAGAGTGCAGTGGTGCTATCTTGGCTCACTGCAAGCTCCACCTCCCGGGTTCACACCATTCTCCTGCCTCAGCCTCCTGAGTAGCTGGACTATAGGCCCCCGCCACCATGCCCAGCTACTTTTTTGTATTTTTAGTAGAGACGGGGTTTCACTGTGTTAGCCAGGATTGTCTTGATCTCCTGACCTTGTGATCCACCTGCCTCGGCCTCCCAAAGTGCTGGGATTACAGCCATGAGCCACTGCACCTGGCCTAGTCCCCACAAATGTTAATGCATCCCGGCATTAACCCAAAAGTCCAAGTCCGAAGTTTTATCTGAGAAGGGACTCAAGGCAAGTTCCTTTTGCCTATGAGTCTGTAAAATGAAAAGCAAGTTAGTTACTTCCTAAATATAATGGGGGACAGGGATTGGGCAAATACACTCATTCCAAATGGGAGAAATTCAGCCAAAACAAAGGAGCCACAGACCATATACAAGTCCGCAATCCAATAGGGCAATCATTAAACCTTAAAGTTCCCTAACAATATTCTTTGACTCCATATCTCACATCCAGTTCATGCTGATGCAAAAGTGGCCTCCCATGGCCTTGGGAAGCTCTGCCCCTGTGTCTTCACAGGGTACAGCACCCTCCCAGCTACTTTCACAGGATGGTGTTGAGTGTCTGTGGCTTTTCCAGGAGCATGGTGAAAGCTGTTGGTGGATCTAACATTCCATGGTCTGGAAAACAGTGGCCCTCTTCTCAATGTTCCTCTAGGCAGTGCCCCAGTGGGGGAATCTGTGTGGGGGTCACATGACACATTTTCCTTCTGCACTGCCCTAGCAGAAGTTCTCCTTTTGGGCTGTGTCCCTGCAGCAAACTTCTGCTGGATATCCAAAGGTTTCCATACATCCTCTGAAATGTAGGCAGAGGTCCCCAAACCTCAATTCTTGTCTTCTGCACACCTGCAGGCCTAACACCACATGGAAGCCACCAGGGCTTGGGGCTTGCACCCTCTGAAACATTGAACTGAGCTGTATATTGGCCCCTTTTAGCCACAGCTGGAGCAGCTGGGACGAAGGGCACCAAGTCCCTAGGCTGCACACAGCAGGGGGGCCCTGAATCCTGCCCAGGAAACCATTTCCCCCTCCTAGGCATCCAAACCTGTGATGGGAAGATCTCTTACATGCCCTGGAGGCATTTTCCCCATTGTCTTGGTGATTAGCATTTGGCTTCTCATTACGTATGCAAGTTTATGCAGCTGGCTACAATTCCTCTCCAGAAAATGGGATTTTTCTATTGCATCATCAGGCTTCAAAATTTCCAAAGTTTTGTGGTCTGCTTCCTCTTGAATGCTTGGCTACTTAGAAATTTCTTACACCAGATACCCTAAATCATCTCTCTCAAGGTCAAAGTTCCACAGATCTCTAGGGCAGGGGCAAAATGCTGCCAATCTCTTTGCTAAAGCATAGCAAGAGTCACCTTTATTCACGTTCCCAACAAGTTTTTTATCTCCATCTAAGACCACCTCAGCCTGGACTTTATTGTGCATATCACTGTCAGCATTTTGGTCAAACCCATTCAATGAGTCTCTAGAAAGTTCCAAACGTTATCACATCTTCCTGTCTTCTTCTAAGCCCTCCAAGGTGTTCCAACCTCTGTCTGTTACCCAGACAGTTCCAAAGTTGCTTCCACATGTTTGGGTATGTTTACAGCAGTGCCGCACTATCTCCATACAATTTACTATATTAGCTCATTCTCATGATGCTATGAGACTGAGTAATTTATAAAGAAAAGAGGTTTAATTGACTCACAGTTCCACATGACTGGGGAGGCCTCAGGAAACTTACAATCATGGCAGAAAGCAGCTCTTCACGGGGCAGGAGGAGAGAGAATGACTGCCAGCAGTGGAAATGAATGCCCGATGCTTATAAAACTTCCAGATATCCTGAGACTCACTCAGTATCATAAGAACAGCATGGGGGAAACCACCCCCATGATTTGATTACCTCCACCTGGTCCTGCCCTTGACACTTGGGGATTATTACTATTCAAGGTAAGATTTGTGTGGGGACACAGAGCCAGACCTTATTACTGGGACTCCAGTACTATGTTGAATCAGACTGGTGAGCATAGGCATCTTTGTCTTGTTCCAGTTCTTAGAATACTTTCAACTTTTCTCCAGTCAGTATGATACTGGTTGTGGGTTTGTCATAATGGTTCTCATTGTTTTGAGGTATTTTCCTTTTACAGAACCTTAGTTCATTGAGCTCTTTTATCATGAAGGGAAGTTGGATTTTTTTTAAACGCATTTTCTGCATGTGTTGAGATGATTATATGATTTTTGTTTTTAATTTGGATTGTGTAATATATCTTATTTATGTATTTATGTATTTCTTTATTTAAAGACAGTGTTTTGCTCTCTCATTCAAGCTGGAGAGCAGTGGTGCAATTATAGCTCACTGCAGCTGCAAACTCCTGGGCTCAAGTGATTCTCCCACCTCAGCCTCTGGAGTAGCTGGGACTACTGACATGTTCCACCATGCCTGGCTAATGTGTTTTTTTTTTTATTTTATTTTTTGTAGAGGTAGTTGTCTTACTATGTTGCCTAGGCTGACCTGGAATTTCTGACCTCAAGCCCTTCTTTCAACTTCGTGTCCCAAAGTGCTGAGATTATCACATTTATTGATTTGTATATATAGATTCATCCTTACATTCCTAGTATAAAACACACTTGATCATTATATATTATCTTTTTGATGTGTTATTGACTTAATTTATTAATATTTTGTTGAGGATATTTGTGTCTATGCTTTTCAAGGATATTGGCCTGTAGTTTCCTTTTATTGTTGTGTTGTCCTCTGGTTTTGTTATCAGGATGTTACTGGCCTCATAGCATTATTTAGGGATAATTTCCTCCTCCTCAACTTTTTGTAACAATTTCAGGATGATTGGTGTTAGTAGAATTTGGCTGTGAATACACCTGATCATGGGCTTTATTTTGTTTGATGGTTATTTGTATTAATGATTCAATCCCGCTACTCATTATTGTTCTGCTCAGGTTTTATATTTCTTCTTGGTTCAATCTTGAGAAAATGTAAGTTTCTAGGAATTTATCCATTTCCTCTAAGTTTTCAAGTATGCAAGCTTTTACTTCTTCATAGTAGTCTCTGATGATCTTTCATTTTTCTGTGGAATCAATTGTAATGTCTCCTTTTTATTTATGATTTTTATTTGTATCTTTTGTTAGTCTAGCTAATGGGTTATCAATTTTGTTTATGTTTTCAAAGAGCTAATTTCTCATGTTGGTTTTTCATACTTTTTCATTATTTATTTCATTTAGTTCTGCTCCGATATTTATTCCTTCTGCTAATTTTTTTTTTTTTGCTTTTTTGCTTTTCTTGCTCCTTGAGGTGTGTTGTTAGGTTGATAATTTGTAAGCTTTCTACATGTTTGAAGTAGGCAGTTAACGGTATAAACTTCCCTCTTAGCACAATTTTTGTATGTCTCATTGGTTTTGATATGTAGTGGTTCCATTTTCATTTGTTTTAAGAAATTTCTAGATTTCCTTCTTAATTTCTTCCTTAAGCCAATGATTGCTCAAGAGCATGTTGTTTAATTTCCATATATTTGTAGTTTCCTTAGTTTTCCTTTTCAGTGATTTTTAGTTTTATTCCATTGTGGTCTGAGAAGATGCTGGATATGAATTTGAATTTTAAAAATGTGTTGATATTTGTTCTGTGGCCAAGTATGTGGTCTATCTTGGAGACTGTTCCATGTGCTGAAGAGAAGAAGGAATATTCTGTAGTTGTTAGATAGAATATTCTATAGATGGTTCTCCCATGTTGAGTGCTTATATTTTTAGAATCATGATATCCTCTTGCTGAATTGATCATTTTATCAATAGCACTTGAGTTGTCTTTTTTTTTTACTGTTTTTGATTTAAAGTCTGTTGTATCTGATATAAATATAGCTACTCCTGCTGGCTTTTGATTTTCATTTGCATGAAATATCTTTTTTTTCACCCCTTTGATTCTGTATTTGTTTTTAAAGGAAAGTTTCTTGTTACCAGCATAAAGTTGGATCATGTTTTTTAATGTATTTCACCCATCTATGTCTTAAGTGTAGCATTTAATCTACTTACATTCCAGGTTATTGTTGACATGTGAAGTTTTGTGCCTGTCATGTTTTTTATTCCTTTTAATTGGTTTTATAAATTATTTGCTTTTTCCTTATTCTCTATGTTTCTTTATGAT
Organism: Homo sapiens; assembly: GCF_000001405.40. NCBI lineage: Eukaryota > Metazoa > Chordata > Mammalia > Primates > Hominidae > Homo > Homo sapiens. Next base: position 86,724,218 of record NC_000023.11, read on the forward strand.
TTGATGGAATTCCATCATGTTGTCATTTGATTATTGCTCTTTCTCCTTTGTATGACTGTTTTGTAAGTCTTGTGAGTTTTATACTTCCACATGTTTTCGTGATGGCGAATAGTGAACTTTTGTTTCCATGTTTAAAACTCTTTTGAACATTTAATGTATGATCAGTATGGTGGGGAGGAATTATCAGTGTTTGCTTGTCTGGGAAATCTTTTATTTCTCCTTAACTTATGAAGCTTCCTCTTGTGGATAAAAAATGCTTGTCTGGCAGTTTTTTCTTCTTTTAGCACTTTGAAAATGTCATACAATTCTCTTCTGGCCTGTAACATTTCAGCTGAGAATTCCACTGTCTGATGGGTGTTCCTTTATAGACGACTAGATGTTTTTCTCTTTCTGATTTTAAAATTATTTATTTCCTGTTGATTTTAGTTATTTTGACTAGAATATGGTGTGGTGAAGTCCTTTTTGCAATGTATATTCTTGGAGATTGCTAATTCTCCTTTAGATGTCTGACACTCTTGCTAGAAATGCAAAATCCCCATAAATTACTCCCTCATATAGGTTTTCTCGACTTTTGGTTCTTTCTTCCCCCTCGGAAACACAGATAATTCTTAAGTTTGGTTGCTTTATGTACTTCAAAATGTGCTCTAGTCTTTATTCATTCTTTTAATTATTTTTTTGACTGACTGGATTATTTCCAAAGACTGGTCTTCATGTTATGAGACTTTTCCTTCTGCTTGGTCTTGTCTATCACTGAAATATTCAAATGTACTTTATATATCCTTCAATGAACTTTTCGGTTCTGGAATTTCTATTAAAAAAAAAAAACAATATCTGTCTTCTTGGTAAATTTCGCATTTATGTCCTGAATTGATTCTCCAATTTATTTGCATTTGTTTTCAGATTTCTCTTTCATGTGATTGAGCTTCTCTAAAATTAACATTTTGAATATTTTATCTGTCATTCAGTAATTTCATTTTGATTCATTTCTTTTCCTGAACAATTTTTTATGGTTTTATTGTGTCATATTTCCTTGCTTTTCATGTTTCCTGGTGTAACAGTAGCTTTTTCCAAGTTTTTGAAATTGCTTTTATACAGGAGGATTTTTGCTGAAAATGTATATATGTTATTGGTTGAGTCGGATACTTTGGCTTTGACTTTGGGTGCCCATGGTAGTGTAATCTATACATTTTTTTCTGTAATACACAGGGTCATTGGTATCTGTGATTTCCTCCGTGGTTAGGGTACAGTTATTTGTTAAGGCTGTGCTGAAATTTTGCTGGGGACTGGGATGCCAGATGGACCATTCTTCAGGCTCTAGTGGTGGCATCAATAGGCTGTGTCTGCCTGTTCTTAGTCCCCAGAGCAGCTTACATAGGCACCAGTGTTGATGAGTCCTGAAGGGCCAGTTCGTGGGCCTCCAGGTAGCTTGTTCGGATGCTGGTAGTGGCAGTGGTGGGCCATGCATTTGGGCAGGTTCCCAGGGCCCCTGGACTGCTGGTGTGGTGTGACTGAATGCAGTAGTGATGATGGAGCAACTCACTTGAAATCAAGTGGTTCATGCTCGTGTTGCTGGTGCCTGCAATTGGTTGTGGAGGCTAGTTCCCCTGGCCTGCTGGTAGCACATGTGGGTGGGTATCATCAGTTGTGGTATTGGTAGATTGGGTCAGTATGACTTCAGACTCTGGCAGCACCAATCAAATGCCAGCAATAATAATCTAGGCTGGGAAACTTCCTGGGTCCTGCATGGCATGCTTGAGTGTTGGGGATATGGGTCTAGGCAAGCAGACTTTTCCTTGAAGGTAATGACTTCAGGTGCTGGCTGTGATAAGCAAAAGTGGGGTTGTCCTCATGACACCAGTGGAATTCTCAGGAATGGACTGTCATGGCTATGCTGTATACCTGCCATCAGGGAGGGTGGGGCCCCTCATAGCGGGAGCACCATGCGCAGGTAGCTCTGGAAAGTACAGCCTGTCCACATCTTTGTCTCACAGAAGCGGTAGCAGGGGAGTGGGAATTGTTTTAGGAGTGCGTGGAATTGTCCAGTCTCCTCCCTCTTCAGCCAGGTGGCAGATGCAGCAGAGTCAGCCCAAACTCTGTCCATTGGTGGGGCACAGCCCAGTGTTACACTCTCAAAATTGCACCAGGTGTGGGCCCATAACCAGAGAGAGTGGTGCACCTCTCAGGTGAGCAGCATGGATAAGAAGCTGTAGAAAGTGAAGTCTGCTTATGCCTCAATCTTGCAGCAGCCTCAAGCAGGGTGGCGGAGATTGTCCTAGGGGTGTGTGGGAGCATTCAGTTTCCCAGATCCTTCCTCAGTCCAATGTTGGCAATGGCAGCAGCCTTGTCAGTGCTGCCTTGGGGCAGGATCTAGATCCTTGGTATCTAGGCTCTCAGAATGGTTCCAGGTTGAAGCTGCTCTGAGATTGGATGCCTGTGGGATTTTGGGTGGGTTCCCTGTCTGGAGCAACACCTCTGCACAATCACTAGCAATGACCTGTGTTAGGCCCAAGGCCTGTGGTGATTGATGGGTTCTTCTATAAGCCAAGATTGCTAAAGTCTGTTGCAGGAGTGTGGAGTCCTGGGAGCTTCTCCGTTACTTTTTCCCCATGTCCAGGAGCTTTTCTTGGTCCCCAGCCAGCCCCCATCCTGGTAAGCTGCTTCAAACCCTCTCATTACTTGTTTTTGGGGTTTCCATCAGTCTCTGCTGAATTTTAGTTTTCTCTTTTAGAAAGTCTGTTTGAAATGTGAATATCTACTCACTGTTCTTTAAATTTTATGATCCTAGCAGTTTTACATAATAAAACAAATATTTAAATTTGTATAACTCATTATTTTACAAAATATCTTAGTTGAAGTCACCAGGTCTTTTATATCATCTTTACCATTTAGGTAAACTGTGTTTCCAAATATGCATTATCAGAATATTTAACATTTAATTATTAGAAGTAAGTGTCTTCATTATGAAATTTGATTTCCATCTGACAAATCCACTATGAATTAAGAAAAGTCACAATGGCCTTTCCCAAAACCTCTTTGTTGTGTATAGTATAATAGATTTAAAACATACCTACAGAAAAACAATATGCAAAATTTGAAAGATGCAGTATGAGACTAGGGCACATTATAAAAAGGGTCCAAAAAATGTGTTTAGTTATATAAAACTTGTGAAAATTTACAGAAAGAGCTATCAAATTATTTTGATATGTTTAAATTACTCTTACTGTCATGTTTTTTTTTCTTTCAGATCAAAATTACATTTTGATATAGTTTGGATATTTGTCCTCACCCAAATCTCATGTTGAAATCTAATCCACAATGTTGGAGCCAGGGCCTGGTGGAAGGTGTTTGGATCATGAGGGTGGATCCCCCATGAATGGCTTGGGGCATCTCTGTGCTGAAAACTGAGCTCTCACTCTGAGTTGACACAAGATCTAGTTGTTTAAAAGGGTGTGGCACGTGCCCCATCACATTCTCTTGCTCCTGCTCCGGTCATGTGATGTGCCTGCCCCCACTTCACCAGCTGCCATAAGTAAAATCTTCCTGAGGCCTCCCCAAAGCAGATGCCAGTGATATGCTTCCTGCACAGCCTGCAGACCCATGAGCCAATTAAACTTTTTTTCTTATAGGTTAACCATTGTCAGGTATTTGTTTATAGCGACGCAAGAAAGGCCTAATACAGAAAACTGGTACTGAGGGATAAAACATTGTTGTAAAGATACCTGAAAATGTGAAGCTGACTTTAGAACTGGGTAATGGGCAGAGGTTGGAAGAATTTGGAGGGCTCAAAATAAGACAGAAAAATGAGGAAAAGTTTGGAACTTGTTAGAGACTGATTAAATGGTAGTGACCAAAATGCTGATGGTGATATGGACAGTGAAATCTAGGCTGCTGAGATCTCAGATAGCAGTGAGGAATTTATTTGGAACTGGAGCAAAGTTCACATGTGTTATACCTTAGCAAAGATCCTGGGTTGCATCCGATTCATGCCCTAGGGATCTGTGGAAGTTTGAACTTGAGAGTGATGACCTGAGATATCTGGCATAAGAAACTTCTAAGCATCAAAGTGTTCAAGATGTGGCCTGGCTGCTTCTAACAACATATGCTCTTATGTGGAAGCAAAGAAATAATGAAAGGTTGAAAGTTATATTTAAACAGGAAGCAGAGCATTAAAGTTTGGAAAATTTGCAGCCTAGCTATGTGGCAAAAAAAGAAAAAAGCTCTTTTGGGAGAGAAATAAAAGCAGACTATGGAGCAACCATTTGCTAGACATATTTGCATATCTAAAAGAAAGCTAAGTGCTAATATCCAAAACAATGAGACAAAGACCTCAAAGGTATTTCATAGAACTTCATGCAGCCCCTCCCATCACAAGCCTAGAGGCCTAGGAGGGAAGAATTATTTCTTGGGCCAGGCCCAGGGCTCTGCTCCCCTGCACAGCCTTGGGACACAGCTCCCTGCATCTCAGCTGCTTTAGCTCCAGCCTCAGCTCAGAGGACCCCAGATAATGCTCTTGCCACTACTCCAGAGGACACAAGCCACCATATCCCTCGGCAGCTTCTGTCTGATGTTAATACTACAGACACACAGAATGCTTGAGTGAATGAGACTTAGCAGCCTTTGCTAGGTTTCAGAAAATGTATGAGAAGGCCTGGGTGTCCAGGCAGAAGCCTGCTGCAGGGGCAGAGCCCTCACAGAGAACCTCTACTAGGGCAGTGCAGAGGGAAAATAACGGGGTTGGAGCCCTTACACAGAGTCCCCACTGGGGCACTGCCTAGTGAAGCTATGAGAAAGGGGCTACGGGCTCTGAGACCCCAGAATGGTAGATCCCCTGGCAGTTTACAACTTCAGTATGGAAAAGCCACAGATGCACAACAACCTGTGAGAGCAGCACAGGGTCTGAACCCTGTAAAGCCACAGGGGCAGAGCTGCCCAAGGCCTCAGGAGTCCACCACTTGCATTAGTGTTCCCTGGAGTTAAGGGCACTTGGGACATGGAGTCAAAGGAGATTATTTTCGAGCTTTAAGATTTAATGACTGCCCTGCAGGGTTTTGAACTTGCGTGGGACCTTTCTTTTGGCTGATTTCTCTCTTTTGGAACATGAATGTTTACCCAATGCCTATACCCCTGTTGTATCTTGGAAGTAAGTAATTTGAATTAATTGATTTTAAGTAACCAATTAGTTTTATAGGCTCATAGGTGGAAAGGACATGCTTTGTCTCACACGAGACTTTGGACTTTGGACTTTTGAGTTAATGATGAAACAAACCAAGACTTTTGGGGACTGTTGGAAAGGCATGATTGTATTTTGCAATGTGAAAAGGACATGAGATTTGGGGGTGTCTAGGGGTGGAATGATATAGTTTGGATATTTGTTGCTGCTCAAATCTCATATTGAAATGTAATCCCCAATGTTGGAGGTGGTACCTGATGGGAGGTGTTTGGATTATGGGGGCAAATCCCTTGTGAATGTCTCAGGCCATCCCCTTGGTGATAAGTGAGTTCTCACTCTGAGTTCACATGAGATCTGGTTATTTAAAAATGTGTTGCACCTACCTCCACACCCTTTTTCCTGCTCTAGCCATGTGATATGCCTGCTCCTGCTTCAACTTCCATGAGTAAATGCTTCTTGAGGCCTCCCCAGAAGCAGACACGAGTGCTATGCTTCCTGTGCATCCTGCAGAACCATGAGCCAATTACATCTCATTTTTTTTTATAAATTACCCAGTATCAGGTATTTCTTTATATGAATGCAAGAACTGCATAACACATCCCTTTTGCCATATCGTTTTTAAAAATCCCTGGGGTTAAAAAAAAAACAAGCTGTGATATTGAAACATGTTTTCAGTGTCCTTCTAAACACATGCCACTCTTCTTTAGCTTGGTTTATATTAAGCTGATGCCTGTGCTAATGCTTGTCACTGATGATCATAACACTTTGATCACTAATTCCACTGGAAAGTAGTCTTCTAGTATGTTCTTTGAATAATAGGATTATATGATGCGTAGAATATATCAAGATAATAAATGACTGGATATACAAATCATACTTATTTCTAGCATTTAGCATTTCTAAACAAAGGTCCTAGGAGCAACTTTTAAAATATTTCTGCACTTCAGTTTTCCTTTCTGCAAAATGGATCTTGCTTTCTTTATACTTTACTTCTATATTTACATATAAAATTTATATTTAAATTATAGTTTACATCTGAAAACTGGTTAGTCTAATCTGTAAGCCATGTTAACTTTTCATTTTAATTCAAGCAAGTCAATCTGTCATTTGCTGGCAGGCTAATTTGTTAACAATTAATTGAATCAGATGAAACCACTGGTATCTGGTTTAAAAAATTTGTTGATCCATTCATATTTTTTGTTTTCCATTCATTGAATCACTATTGTGTATCAGGTAGTGCTCAAGGTTTATGATTTAAATGGGAGAGACAAATAATGAACAAAATAAATAATTATATAATTCTCGATTAAGTATTTAGATAGACAAAATGAACCCATATTTATTCTTTTGAAAACATAGTGGAGTTTGCTTTTATGCCCTATGAGACCAGGGTTTCTGAGTTATAAAAAGAAGTGAAACTACATATAATTATTTACATGTATCTACCTTCTCATTGCTTAAAATTTTAATACTGAGTGATTTGTTAGAGTGCTATTTTTGTCTCTTATTTTTCACATTCCTAAAAAGAAGGTTATGGGATGTATGCAACTGTGATTGAGTGCATACACACGAAATACATTTGTTTTCATAATGTTACAAGTCTAGTTTTGGTTGTTTGAGTGCTCATAGACTCAAATGAACACAGCACTTGGTGTACTTATTCATGAACTTAATATTTGCTTAGTCAGATAATGTTGAATGTTAGGATGAAAGAAAAATCTCTGATTTCTATAATGGACTTATATATTTACTGTTTTCGATTTTATTATTTTTGGGCCAGCATCCAGTGATATGCCTAAAAACCAGCTCCCCAAAAACCAAACAAATCAAAATAAGAAGAAAACTGCTATTTATAACATTTGCCAATTTTCTTTGTGTAAACATTTCTATCGTGGCAGATTTCAGGTTACCAACAGCTTAACAACTGGCTCACAAAATTAATGAATATTTAACAATTGGCTCTAGTTTGAGCAGGTCCAAGGCAGCACCCTCCTTTAAAAATATTGTACTACATATGAAATGGGTATCACTTCAGACTCTTCACGGCAATCTTTTCTTATATCTATTAAGCAAAGCAAACAACAAAAACTTTTCCAACCAGTTTACTTTTCAATACCTTCAACAAAGCATGACACATTAACTAAATATTTGAGAATTCTCTATAAAAGTGAATGAAAAAAGTTTGTTTACCAGTTTAATTTATACCACTTTAACAGAGAATGGTATTAAATTGGAAGGGAGTTTAGCTTAATTGCATTTGGATCATTTTTTTATCAGCATGTAAATATTGGTAAAAAAAAGAAAATGTTTGGTGATTAGAAGTGTGGATGCCTGCAAATGTCCTCAAATAGTGAAAGCTACCACAAGGGAAAATACACCTGGCTAAGCCTTTTTCATTTTAGGTCTCAGAAGTGATATAACTTGTAGAAGCTTAGATTCCAAAGAAAATATTTATGGCTTACATAGTTTGATAGATTTCCTTGCCTTCATGGATTTAAATAATTAACAATGCATCTTAGATGCATAGGATATATCTACTATAGCAACACTGCCCGTAATGGTAGCCACTAGGCATGTGTGGGTATTTTAACTTAAATAAAAATATAAAATTCAAACTTCAGTTAATGAATTAGTCACATTTCAAGTGCTCAATAGTCACATGTTATTTGTGGCTACTATATTAGACAGCACAGTTATAGAATGTTTTCATCATTGGAGAAAGTTCCATTGGACAGCACTCCATTAAATAGGGTGAATGGAAGGTCTAGAACCATCAGTCATTTTGAGAACAAGAAAGGATAATAAAGACTTAAAAATCAGCAAGTGTCTTGAAATTATTCTTTCAGTTACCCAGAAAGGACAGCTACTATTGACTTTTGGCTTATTGTGCTATTGTCTTCATCACTTTCTGTTAGAAAACAGAATTCACTGATTTAGCAAATGTTGAATGTATGCAAAATACTCTGTTATATTGCTTTGTCCAAAACACAGAAAAGAAACAGACATAGAAAACCTCCACCCCCAAAAGGATTTATAGAATTATATGCCACTTCTGGCTAAAGCCATCATAATTTGTTAGTTAAATAAGATGCATTCAGAAGCAGATTTTATTAGAGGTAGTATGGTATAATTGCTATCTGCCTGGATTTGAATCCTGGTTTTACCACTCCTTGTTATGTGACCTTAGGCAAATTAATTAACTTGCCTGTGTCTCAGATTGCCTCATGGTCCCAATGAAATGGAGATGCTAATTGTAACTACTTCATAGTGTTAACATAGGCCTAAGTGAGATAAAGCATGTTAACACATTTAGAGCAATGTTTGGCACCTACTAAGTGCACAGCATGTATTAGCCAATATTTTCTTTATGTTTTACATTCAATAATCCATATAGAAATAGTAATAAGTAGAAAACAATATTGTGGCCAAAAGCTAGCATGAGATATAAGTGGCTTCCTCTATGTAGGTTCTTCTGTATGTTCTCTTATCAGTAATGGGACAAAGGGAGGCCCCACCATTAAATTCACCTACAGTTATTGGCCTACAGCATTGATTTACCTGTGATAGTTGCCTTGATTTGATACCCCAGAATAAAGATTATGAGCCTGATGGGGGCTGGAGAAGGGTGCCCAATTTAATATCAAATTTGACCTGGTTGGTGTTTAATTTTAAATAATATTTGAATGTTTACATGTGAATTATTTAGTATAGTTTGCACCGTGGGCACCTACAATGCATATGAAAACACACATATGCCTTCCTTTCATCCCCAACGTGGTGCGTTAGGCAGTCAATAAATATTTGTTGCATGAGTGAGTAAAAGCTAAAGGAGTCACTGGATATTAAACTTTGGGCAGTGTTTCCAACATAAACTATTATTAGTAATACAGACTTTAAATCCAAAAGTGGGAAAGACATTACAAGTTGCAAACAAATGTTTCTTGTTGTTTTTTGTCAGTAGATAGTTTGGGAATATTGCTACACAAGGCACATGGTAAATTTTAGTTCTGGCTCAGATCCCTTTGGTGTTGGCTCAACTATTAGCATGTGTAGCTAAATAACTAATATAGCTATAACATGAATTGGAAATTGCATTATGATCATTAGGCTTGCAAGACTATTAATCCTTCAATTATATTACTGAATGTGGCAAAATCATGAAGACAAAAATAGGTAAAATACCTTACTGGTATGGAATTCTATTCCCTGTTTGACATTTAAGTGTCTTACAGTACATTTTTCTCTATTTGTGGGAAACTGTATAATGTCAGTGTGCCATAGTTTTGTTCTGATAACACATTTAAGAAATTTAAGTTGGAAGCTGTTATTTGGCAGTTTACCAACACCATCTGATTAGCTCTGTTTCTTGTTTGGCTGAGCAGCTGGCAATTAATGAATTGATAGGAAATGGTCACACGGCAGTGGCATTAGCGTGTGAACATCTGGTATTAAAATTAGTCAACACAGAGGTTTTTGTGTGATAATTCAAATTCACTGACAAGAATCACTACTTGGGTCTCATTCTAAGTGCTCTATGGAAAGAGAAAGCTATTACTATCTCAGAGCATGAGACGAAGATACATTTAGTGGGCATTAAGGGTTGTTTGTGTTTGTTTGTTAGTTTGGGTGGGTGGGTGGGTGGCAGAGTTACAAGCCCACAACTTAACTTGGAAACCATGCATTTTTCCCACTGAACTATTCATTCTCCCACTTGAAGGTATTTTATGCTATGGTCAGATATGGCTGATTCCTTTAATCTGTAAGCCTTTTCCAGGACAAGTTCATCACATTAAAGAGATGAGAGGGTTCTTTGTTCAGACACCACATAGGTCACACAAAGGGTGTGTGTATTATTTTGGACTCTCGTGCTTACATATTCCAGCTGCACCCCCAATCTGGCATCATTTCTTATGCATAATATTATATTATCTCCTCTAATTCGGGATTGAAATTATGCCTTCAAAACCACTGAAGAGTGAAAGCTGCCGTTATCTAGAATATTTTTTCTGAGTGGTGAGTTTCTTAACCATTCCTAGAGAAACAAGGTAAGAGTATTGCGGATTCACTGTTTCATAGACTAATGAAACACATATATTGTGATAAATTCTACCCTGGAATAGGGAGTTTAACAATTGCTAAATTGCATAATTTTTCCTTTTTAACCTCAAGAGCCCTTTTTCCATTTTTTAAGTTTATGAAAACTTTGCTATATTCATCACTGTTAATTTAAATTCAATGGTAAATTGGTGATTGTAGAACACAGACCAATGCTTGAATTGGTTCATAAAGATCCATAAAGTGTCATGCTTCCAATAGTATTTAGATATACCAACTTTCAGCATAAAGTACTCCCCCTATTTAGTGGTAAGCTACGTTAGTAAAAACAATGAGCAAATTTTTTATTTTACTGTCTCTGGTTTTATTATTAAAGTCTTTCAAGTTACAGTCTGTTCTGTTTCTGCAGAACTCTGGTGACAACACAGAAGAAGCATATCAATTAAATATGAAATATCAAGACAAATACATGCATAAAATATCCAACATTCAAATAAACTTCCAAAAGCCACTCCTCAGTAGCAAAATGCCATTAAATCCTTTAGGAACACATTAATAGATTAACATTTGGAAAAGTAATTACAATGAGAGTTGAAGTCAAACTAAATAAAAAAAGAAGACATCTATTACATAATTCTACTGAATTCTTGAAAGAAATCAATATAATAAAATATCAGAGGAAATTCAACGTTGAGACAGTTGTTTTTAAAAGGCAATGGAACATGTGCACATACATATTACCACATGGTAGAGATATTTAACACACATATGTTAGTACTTCATAAATTCTGTGTATACTTCCATATTTCCAAGAATGTAAAATAATATATTGAAATGAAATAAATGGCCTCTATGAACATGGTCAGAGTTGATACTTTAGTGCCAATAAACTGAATCTTAAGCCAAATTGACTGTGTTAAACCTTATAAAAAACTAAATTTTCTAAACATTGTCCCATTCTTTATGAAGGTTCAAATGTACTTTCAAATAATTTGATAAAATGGGCAACATTTTTAACCATTTGTGATATATCTCTAAAGAAAAGGAACTGGTATAGTAGAGGAAGGGATTGTATGTACTAATTAATAGCATTTTCCGTAACAACTTATTCTTTTTAGGCAAAGTCCTTGAACTATGTGAGTACACATCAGAATCTGAGTTATTATTGAAGATTGTATTACTAATTGCAGGGAAAAATAGGAATTGTGAGAATGTATAAATTTTGGAAATCTCTGTCCTTTGCTACTTTGGATTTGGAGAAGACTTCTGTGGTGTTTCATAGGAGCTGCAGCTATTTTTGATGGGGCACAAATTAAATATGTGAAAAGTAACAGGGTTGTAAAAGTCATAAATGCCACATAAATGAAGTTATCAATGAGTAAAAGTGATTAGAGTTTTAGATTTGCAAGTTTCCTTTTTAAATACTTATTGATTTGTTGCAAATACTGTTAACCCTGTATTTGGCAAATGGTGAAGGCATTATCACTTGTGTTCTCATTTGTAATAAAACAGATTAACTTGCTGTGAAATTTTAACTAGGCTGAGACACAACAGTAGCCACCTAATGAACCAAAGCATATTGCAGTTAAGTAGCTAAATAGATGCATACTTATTACAGGGCTAAAAAATTGATCTGTTTACTTGCAAAGAAGAAATTGTTCATATAATTATTCATTATTTTAGGAGAACTTAAACATTCCACTTCCACAGAGATTTAAAAAAAAACACAACACCTAATTCTTAATCAATGTACGACACTGCATTCATATAACATGGTTTGCATGGTGAAAAAAGTCTGACTTCTGTGCTGCCTTAGAAAAATAACAATGGACTGAAACTTGATCGAATTTGGTAAGTACAGGCTACAAAATCTTAAAGGAGAAAATTTGCTTCATACAAAATGTTACTGTCACTCTTAATATTCACCTTCTAAATTATGTTCTCAAAGTTTGTTCATTGTTTTACATAATATGCTGCTGAAAATGCAAAGAAGGAGTTTCAGCATAAATTATTGGAGTTTATATCATTTTATCCTATGCTAATTTTAAATATGTTAGGGGAATCCACTATTTTTTCTTAATATTAGTTAATATCAATTGCATTTTTGTTAACGTTCTTGATATTTTCTGTTTTTATAGGTGCTCTTATGATTTTTATTTACTCATAATGAGCATTCAGTTTTTATTAGGCAGAGTGAGCAAGACCAAGTTTCACTGTCAGTTGGATTCTCTTGCTTTTTTAAACCATGAAACTGTAGGGATCACTTAAAAATTGTTTATTTTTATTCCAGCAGCATACATTGCTGTATATGTGATTCTGGTTTGCTGTTACACAGTGATTTTCCTTTTGTAAGTTTTATTTTTTCACAATAACTGCTGCACTTTGTCCCTTTCCATTCATTCAGAGGTCCATTAGAGATAAACATAGTTCATTGAATTACACATATTTAAAGGAAATTTTCAGGGTTGGAATTCAAACACAAATAGTGAATGTTCTGCGGTTTTTGCACATATTTTGGCATGGAATCAGTGAGACACAATGATGAAAGGCAAAAATGGCCACATATATTAAATTCCTTTTATATATATACACATGCACACACATACTATTTCAATAATATATTTGAAAGCATTATAGTTTAAGTTGAATTTCACAACTGATAAACTACAAGTCTATTTTTAAAAAGTGAAAGGGTATGATAGAAGGGCTGTATGGATATTGCTGTCAGTACCCATATCATCCCTCCAAAATGTGAATAGAATTATTGGGGGAAAAAACTTGATTCTTTTCTTCTGTTTTGCTTCTGTATTTCTTTTTATTTTTCCGTGCAGACATTATGTGACAAGTAGATATTTTCCTGCAGACTAAATATAAAAGAAATGTATCAGTATTCTACTCTGTTTGGAAACATTGTTTTGGAGGCATGACAACAGCTATAAAGTCCTTAACATGTAATATACATTTAAAATTATTGCTATTTAATTAGCATATATTGTAGCTAATATACTCAAAATCTACTATTCATTTCACTAAAATTGTTGGATGTTAATGAAATGCTAAGCAATAATGTCAAACAAAATTTAAAAATATGCATACTACATTGATGACCGTATTAGTGTTCTATTGTTGCTATAACAAATTGCCACAAATTTAGTGGTTTAACACAGTGCAAATTTATTATCTTGGAGTTCTGTAGGTCAGAAGTTGGACATGAGGTTCACTAGGCTAAAAGCAAGGTGTGGTCAAGGTGTGCTGCATTTCTTTCTATAGGCTCCAGAGAAGAATCTGTTATCTGTTTTCTTTTCTTCTTTTAAAATAATTTCAACTTTTATTTAGATATATGGGATACATGTGCAAGTTTTTTACATGAATATATTATGTGATGGTGAGGTTTAGGATACTAATGATCCTGTCACCTAGGTAGTGAGTATAGTGTCTAATAGGTAGTTTTTCAGCCCTTTCTCTCTCCCTCTCTACCCCCTCTAGAAGTGCCCAATGTTTATTGTTAAAGGTCACTCACATCTCTTTGCTCATGGCTCCCTTCTTCCATCTTCAAAGCCAGCAATGTTGCATCTCTGTGACAATTCCTCTGCAGTCATGTCTCCCTCTGACCCTTCTTTTCTGCCTGTGTCTTCCACAGTTTAGAATCCTGGTGATCAGATTGGGTCCACTAAGATAATCCAGTATAATCTCCCTATTTCATGATTCTCAATTGCATCTGCAAAGTCCCTTTGGCCATGTGAAGTAACAAATTCACAGGTTCCTGTAATTAAGATGTGGAGTGGAGATTTTAAGTTGGGGAGGTGGCATCACTGTGCCCGCTGCAATGCCAGACATTGGATAATGTTAACTACTACTAATGAAATAATAAATTTTAACTCTCATGCTATTACTTTTGCATTAAACGAACAGTTTTTTAGGGGGGTTATTTGGGCTTCTCATGCAAAATCAATGTGGAAATGTACAAGCACATATTCGACAAATTATTTCTTAATGTTATAATGATTAGAATAATGATGTGATTACAGATAATTAGACACAACATTTAATTGAAGAAATTTATTATGGATGAATTAAATATTTTATAGAACATTCTCTGTGCTGGCATGTTTATCACCCAGTCACATTTATTGCATAAGTGCATAAACCCTGCAATTTGGTTCTTTTATTGATCAAATTAACTTAATGATTTGGATTTAGTCATCAATTTGTGATGCATAAACATAGTGAATAGCTTCAGTGTTTTATAGCAATTTTAATAATCAGAAGTCTTGAGAGCCATAATAATTACTGCAGAAGTATGCAAAAATATTTTATTAAAATACATTATTGAAAACTACAAAAATATATGGAATAGTAGAAGAATTGACCTTGATAGATCATAGTGTAAGTTTGAAAAAAAACAATAATGGTGTACTGTGACTATTAAAATATGTATACTTTTTTTGATATGAAGTTTTGCTCTTGTTGCCCAGGCTGGAGTGCAATGGCGTGACTTCGGCTCACTGCAATGTCCACCTCTTGGGTTCAAGGGATTCTTCTACATCAGCCTCCCCAATAGCTGGGATTACAGGTGCCTGCCACCATGCCTGGCTAATTTTTTGTATTTTTAGTAGAGACGCGGTTTCACCATTTTGATCAGGCTGATATCGAACTCCTGACCTCAGGTGATCCACCCGCCTTGGCCTCCCAAAGTGCTGAGATTACATGCGTGAGCCACCATGCCCAGCCTATTAAAATATTTTGTTGGCAGAATTCAACATAAGTTATTAAGGTCTGAGAGGTTATAGGTATCTAATATACAAGTATATTATTTCTATAAATTTTATCCATGCAGAAAAGCTCAACATGTGCCAGGTGCCACAATTTGTGAGTTTTATTCCAGGGCTCTCAAGTCTTTACATTTGGGAGTTCTCCTTCTTAATGAGATAGGAGTATCACACTCCAGGCCTTGCCATGAACTTCACATCAATCTGGAAACTACAATAACAATAACCTTCAAAACACACCTACACTGTTAATCATTTATGAATTTTTTAGCAGAGCAAATGGAAATTAACTTTTCTTGACCCTTTACTATATGCTTTTTTGACTTTTTCTATAATTTAGCCCTCATGATATTTTATTAATTTCACAAGAATCAAAAATATATTTTTGTTTAAATATATGTATTTAAGACCAATTATTGTAGATGTGTACACTTTCACAATAAGTGAGAGGTCAACATTTCAAATGTAGAGACTCAACCAACATAAAAACTTGGCGCATAGATGACATTTCCTTTTGTGTTTCCTTTTGTGTCAGGAGCGGATCCCAGAGAGTCCTTCTCCTGCTCCTTCTCTAGAAGAGAATCATCGTCCTGGGAGCCAGACCTCTTCCCACACCAGCAGCAGTGTGTCCAGCTCTCCCTCTCAGATGGATCATCATTTGGAAAGAATGGGTGAGTAACTTTTCTGAAACAGGTAATTGGAAAACATTGTTTCTGGAAATTAGTTGTTAGGAAAAATAGAGGAGAGGGAAAAGCTGGGGAAGCTGATACCTCCTTAATATAAATAGCTTTTTGAAATTTGGTCTTTTGTAATTGCTGAAACAATATGACTAACAAAATGAAACTTACATTGTTAGAAGTTTGTTCTCTGGAAAGATCTTCCTTTACTGTATCATTCAATCTCATG
Source organism: Homo sapiens (assembly GCF_000001405.40). Lineage (NCBI taxonomy): Eukaryota > Metazoa > Chordata > Mammalia > Primates > Hominidae > Homo > Homo sapiens. The sequence goes on from NC_000023.11 coordinate 86,740,118, forward strand.
GAAGTAATATGATGAAATTTTTGTAGAGTATGGGTGAGTTCTATATGTGATACAATACGCCTGACACAGTCACAACATCTTTTGAATAAGGGAAGTTAAAATATCCTTTAGGCAGTTGCCCATTTAAGAGTGATTAAAAAGTGAATCAATATAAGATTTGCCAAAATCTCAACAACTTAGATCACAAATATTTAACAGGATTTCACCTACATGTATTTATTTTATTTTATTTATTTATTATTATTATTTTTATACTTTAAGTTTTAGGGTACATGTGCACAATGTGCAGGTTAGTTACATATGTATACATCTGCCATGCTGGTGTGCTGCACCCATTAACTCGTCATTTAGCATTAGGTATATCTCCTAATGCTATCCCTCCCCCCTCCCCCCACCCCACAACAGTCCCCGGAGTATGATGTTCCCCTTCCTGTGTACATGTGTTCTCATTTGATTTCCCCTACATTTATATATATTTTGTTTTCTCAGAAGCCTTACACCATAGATGCTATTCCAGAAATTGGTTGTGATGTGGCATATTGGGAATTTTAGTCTAGCTATAGGTCTGGCACTAACTAGCTGTAACATCTTGTGTATGCCACTTAACCACCATGAGTTTCTTTACCTATTATACGGAAAAAACTTATCACCCTGCCTAATGCACTGGATTATTGAGCGGTGAAATGAAATATTATGTGAAAAAAGTGCCAAGGAAGTGTGGGCAATAAAAATTACTCTTCTCTGTGTGACTTGACTTTGATTACTTATCATTTCCTTCTATATAATTCTACTCAGGTATATAGAAGTCGACAGGTACATTCAGCTGTAACAAATTCTCATTTAGTATATAGTAATTACCGATCAATTGAGCTAGGTAAAATATTTGTTGATCTTCTATACCTACACAGTCCAATTTCCTATGTACCCATTTCCTTTCAGGAAAATGATTTTTGCTATTCCTTTACTCTTACAAGGGGGAAGTTCTTTAAGTGAACTCTGAATGTTTACAGCTCATAATAGCGATTGCTTTCAGCCTTTCCAAAATAATGTATTTTCTTGGGGGAAGAGAAATTTGGGAGGCTAGGGAAGGTTTTAGATTCCAGAAGGATGAAGACTATCTCTTGGGGAAATTAGTCCAAATCTCACTTAGCTTGTCAGTATTATATGTTTTTTGGAGCCCTTTAGCTTCATAGTGAGCATAGCAGTTCTCAAATCTGGCTCCCAATTATAATCACCTATGGAGTTTTTACTAATATGGATGCTGAGGCCACAAGCTCAGAGTTTGATTCACTTGGTCTGGAATAGAGCCTGGGCAGCAGTATTTTGTTTTGCTTTTCAGCATTTCTTCAAGAGATTCTTATATGTAGCCAGGGTTAAGAACCAGTGGATCAGAACTTGAGGCTAATGTCCCTCAGAGAGTAAGTTTAATTCCTGGAAGACATGACAGACGTCTTCTAGCTTTACTCTTTTCTACGACATAGACTACCTGGTTGTTACTACATTGTGTACAACTGATTCTAGAAAGTCTGAGAAAGAACGAGAGTCTACAAATGAGTGACCGCTAATGAATTTAAAAACCAAAAGGACACATTCTTCTGTTGGTATACCATTCATATTGATGAGGGTGGGAAGAAGGAGACAAAAAGGGGAAAGGGATATATAGAGATAATTATTTATTGAGTGCTGGCTAAAAAGCACAGCACATAGGGAAATATATAATCATATGGCATGGGTTATGCATTGTTGCTGTCGCCATGAGTTAGACAGTAGCTAACATGTAATTTATCAGATCACCAGATAGTTTATTTGTACTTCACCACAGGGTAAATTTTTCTATCTACTAAAGGTGCCCATAATATATAGAAAAAAATATATTTATGATATAATAGATATATCATAAAAGAATGGACAACTTACACTTAGAAGTAAAATCAAATATATCCAAAGCAATGTAATATCCTAGAAAAAAATGTTGACAATATAGTTTATTTCTAATTACACTGGCAGTAATTAGGCTCTATATGCACATTCCATAGTTGTCTAAGAATGATACCAAGATTGTCTATAAATAAATAAGAAGGCTTGAGAATGTTTAACTCTACAGTTACCATATTTTATTAATAGGGCTACATAATGTTTGAATAAAATATGACTAAAGATAATTAAATTATAAACTCTGAAAATTAACATTTTTCTCTTTCAATATGTTTTATAAAGTATCATAATAATTTTCAGAAAGTTATATTATCTATTAATTTTGCTATGTTGGCAATTATACAAATTCATATGTATATATTTGTATATATTGATTATACTTTAAAACTCACACGATCAAGCAGCTTACTGATTTTTTCATTATATGATCTTCAGACCAACAAAAAATCTTTCTACTGTTTTAGAAGTAGAAGCATATAAAACTTATGTTAGTTGTTATTACATTATATTCGTCATTCGTGTGACACTTTTCTGCCTTTTTTCTGGGTATTTCACATAGAAAACTACTCAGTTACATCTCTTATTTATAGTTATGATGCCCAACAATAGAGAGGAACTTATTGTTGATCAAGATAATGGACTAACCATCAAAAAATTCCAAAAAGATAATTAAGGTAAAATGATTTTTGCTTATTTGATACACATATAATAATCAGATACTAACTCAGTTAACACCTGTGTGCTGTATACTGCATCCACATTTCCCTTAGTAAGAATAGATTCATACCAGATTTGGATAAATTATTTTAATAGTAGAAAACATGATGTTTATCTGAAGATTGTTTATTTGGGAGGTTATAAATTACATATCCGCCTGAAATTTTTCTGTGCATATAGTTGGAAACTTTATCTTAAGCCCTCTTACTATGCCAGCTCAGAGACATCTGACTCCCTTTGTATTACATATTTACTTTTTTAACTATGTTTAAATGATTCACCATTTGCTGGTTATAGTTGACGGTTATATTTGACAAAACTGAGTTGCTGTCATAGAGGGGAGCTGCTTCCCTCAATCCTTGAAAGTTATTTTAAAAATATGTGCTAATTTGGACATTTCAGATGAAAGCTTAGCAAGTTAGCCCATCAGGTATTTACCTGGAATACTGATAGATATGATCTCAACCTGCCTTTTGATCTGCTGAGGTACATGTGTCACCTCTGCATAGTATCCAGTTTTGTCTTAGGAGAGCTGTTCAAGGAAGATAGAGAAAGTAAGAATTTTAAAGTGATGCTCTCCTAATATGAAAACTGAGTACAACTTTGTTTGTAAGGCTGAAAGTATAAGAGAAAAGGAAAATATATAATCATATGGCATGGGTTATGCATTGTTGCTGTCACCATGAGTTAGACAGTAGCTAACATGTAATTTATCAGATCATCAGTTTATTGTACTTCACCACAGGGTAAATTTTTCTATTTACTAAAGGTGCCCATAATATATAGAAAAAATATTTCATGAACTGAAGAGTTAATGAAGAATATTTTCTATTTTCTGTAAACTGAACGTGCTTCATAATTACCTAGATGAGCATTTTAGTTGGAATTTGAAATAATATATGATTTTAATTTCATTGATCTATGGTTGGTTTCCTTGCCACATGTTTTGTCTTTTCTTAGCCTGACAGTGAAAGGCTATACCCTCTGGGGCTCCAAAATGCAGATGATTGATTTCAGAATAGTTGTCAGAAAGAAAGTCAGGTTCATGATATTAAACTACCCAAACTCTTGCACAGGTAATGAAAGTCTAGTTATAGTTGAAACTTCATTTATAACCCAGCAACAATTTGTTCCTGAGACTTTTTTCCCACCATGTCATGATTATTTAAAGGACATCTTGATAGTAAAGCAGCTTTGCTAGGAAAGTCCCAAGCTGTACATGATGCATATGATACAATCAGAGCTGCAAACCCCATAAGTCAAAATGGCATTTGGGACTGTCCCACGTACTGCAGCACTCAAGTATACACTATTGTGTCTTATGAAAAATCAGTTCAAGCATTACTACAGATGTACAGTATCTGATTTTCATAAAATATATAGTAGTATGCACTGGTATTTCTGAATTTCTTGCTGTGGAATGGTAGAATATTACTTGTTTAACTCAAATAAGTTGGTCACATATCCTGATGAGGACATTAATAAGCAAGAGTGGCATATTAAACTGCACCCCAGTTATAGTGGAAAGGTTTTTATTAAAAAAATGGGATTCTCTATGTCAAGTTCTTCCAGTTACATTTGTGACGGTAAGAAAAAAATATATTTTCCTGAAATAGAGTTTAGTTATTAAAAGGGAATGAGTTAAAGTAGAAGTGTCAACATTTATTAACTGTGACAAGTAAGCAGTTTATACAACTGTGGCAAACATATGTTTTCACATCTGCTTTGAGTATCATCATGATTTTAAAAATGATTTATAGCTCTGAAAATTATAAAATGCCAGCTTTGCTATCATGAAGGAATTTTCAGAACATTAAGACATACCTTTAGAGTATTCATGTAGCCCACCCTTACTGTATCTGGTAAAACTGGATGACATTATAATACATGTCTCAAAGTCTGCATGACCTGAGCTTTCACGGCATTGATATCCATTTTGACTATGCCTAATATTGTGATTTTAGTTTTGAATCAAGTATTTTGAATAAACTGATCAGTCAAATAAAGCTTTTGATTTTATTTTTTCACAGACTATGTCAAATAAATCGACCAAATTAATCACGTTATGACATTGTGTTATGTGGTCTTTAACAGTCAGTTCTGGGATTCTTTAGAGTACAGCAATTACGGCTATTCACTCTACTTTACCTGTGTGGAAACAAAGGCACAGAGTAAAACCCCCTTCCTCTGGCAGCCACTCATCTCTCAAACTGCTATCAGGAATAGGGTTTTTGTGATATTTTGCACTGGGAAGTAAATGTTTTCAATGGAAAACTCTCTATGTGCAAGATGCCCCAAGCACTCTGATTATCAAATCTGATATGCTACAGAAATAGTGGAACAATAAATTCACCATCCAGCCCAAGAATTTAGCCCATTGAAATGTTATATTTTAAGTTAACCCACAGCCTACAGATGAACAGCTAATAGTTTTAACATCCTTTGGTCACAATAGTATATATTATATTTTACCTGGAATAAAAGCATTGTCATATTTCTTTTTCAACTTTTAAGTTCAGAGGTACAAGTGCAGGTTTGTTATGTATGTAAATTCTGTGTCACTTGGGTTTGGCGTACAGATTATTTTGTCACCCAGGTAATAAGCATTGTATCTGACATGTAGTTTTTGAATCCTCTCCCTCTTCCCAACCTCCACCCTCAAGTAGGCCCCAGTGTCTGTGGTTCTTTTCTTTGTTTCTATGTGTTCTCAATATTTATGTTCCACTTATAAGTGAAAACATGCAGTATTTGGTTTTCTGTTCCTGCATTAGTTCTCTCTCTTAGCCTCCAACCCCATCCATGTTGCTGCAAAGGACATCGTCCTGTCCTTTTTTATGGCTGCATAATATTCCATGGTGTATATGTACCATGTTTTTAATGGGCATTTAGGTTGATTTAACGTCTCTGCTCTTGTGAACAGTGCTGCAATGAACATACACATGCATGATTTAGAATGGTTTATATTCCTTTGGGTACATATCCAATAATGGGATTGCTGGCTCAAATGGTAGTTCTATTTTAAGTTCTTTGAGAAATCGCCAAACTGCTTTCCCCAGTGACTGAACTAGTTTACATTTCCACCACCAGTGTATAAGCATTCCTTTTTCTCCACAACCTTGCCATCATCTGTTGTTTATTGACTTTTTAGTGATACCCATTCTGATTGGTGTGAGATGGTATCTCATAGTGGTTTTGGTTTGCATTTCTCTAATGATCAATGATATTGAACATTTTTTACATGCTGCTGGCTATATGTATGCCTTCTTTTGAAAAGTCTGTTCATGTCCTTCGTCCACTTTTTAATGAAGTTGTTTGCTTTTATTTTTTAAGGTAGAATATTATTTCATTGCATGGATACATCATATTTTGTTTATCCATTCATCAGTTGAAGGATATTTGGGATACCTCCACCTTTTGGCTGTTACAAATAATGCTGCTGGGAACATTTGCATACAGTTTTGGGTTGACTTGTGTTTTCATTTCACATGTATATATACTTAGGAGTGAAATTGATGTGTCTTATGGTAATTTTGTGTTTAAGCACTTGAGGAACTACCACACTCTTTGCCAAAGTGGATGCAGCCGTTTACATTTCCACCAGCAATATATGAAGGTTTTAATTTCTCCCTGCTCTCTCCAACACTTACTATTTTCTGTGATTTTGATTATAGCTAGACTAATGTTTGCGATGTATTATCTCATTTTGGCTTTGATTTGTATTCCCTGATGAATAATCATTTTGAGCATCTTTTCCTGTGTTTATTGGCTATTTATACATCTTCTTTGGACAAATATCTATTTAAGTCCTTTGTCAATTTTTATTAGGCATTTTAATTATTTATTTTATTTAATTTATCATTTGTTTTTAAGTTGTAGGAGTTCTTTTTATATTATGGATACAATATCTTTATCAGGCATGTGACTTCTAAATATTTTATCCCATTTTGTGGGTTATCTTTTTACTGTTTTCGTAGTATCCTTTGATGGACAGGTTATTCATTTTCATAAAGATCAATTTATCTATTTTTTGACACATGTGCTTTTGGTGTTGTATCTAAGAATGCTTCGTCCTTACACTTAGATCTGTACTCCCCTTTGAGTTAATTTTTGTTGTGTTAGATAGGGGACCAACTTCATTATTTTGCATTTGAACATTCAATCATCCTAGCACTGTTTGTTTTAAACATTTCCTCATTGAATTAAGTAGGCACCCTCATCAAAAATCACTTCTCTGTAAAATTAAGCACTGATTTCTGGACACTCAATTATGTTTAATTATCTGCGTGTCTATTCTTTTGCCAATATCATACTATCTTGATTACTATAGCTTTATAATAAGTTTTAAAATAAAGACATATGAGTCTTTTATTATTTTATTCAGAATTGCTTTGGGTCTATTTGATCCTTTGTGTTTCTATGAGAATTTTTAGATCAGTTTCTGATAAGATATCAACTGGAATTACAACAAGGATTCTATTGAAACTGTAGATACATTTGCCGAGTATTGCCATATCAGCAGTATTAAGCAGTATTAAGTATTTTGAACCATGAAAACAAGATATTTTCCTTTTATTCAGGTTCTCTTCAATTTCTTCCAGCAATGTTTTGTCGTTTTCAAACTATACATTTTGCACTTCTTTAAAGTTTACTCCTCAGTACAGCCATACCCCAGAGATATCATGTATTTGGTTCCAGACCACCACGATAAAGCATATATTGCAATAAAGCAAGTCACACAAATTGATTTCTCAGTGCATGTAAGAGTTATATTTACACAATACTGTAGTCTATTAAGTGTGTGATGCCATTATGTCTAAAAAACAGTATACATACCTTAATTTGAAAATACTTCATTGCTAAAATAATAGTAATGATTATCTAAGCCTTCGCCGAGTCATAATCTTTTTACTGGTGGAGGGCCTTGCCTTGATGTTGATGGCTGCTGACAGATCAGGGTGGTGGTCACTGAAGGTTGGGGTGGCTGTGGAAATTCCTTAATATAAGACAGCAATGAAGTTTGCCACATCAATTGACTTTTCCTTTCATGAAAGATTTCTCTGTAGCATGTGATGCTGTTTGAAGGCATCTTACCTGCAGTAAATTTCTTTCAAAATTTGAGACAATTCTCTTAAACTCTACCACTCTTTTACCAACTAACTTTATGTAATATTCCAAATACTTTGTTGTCATTTCAACAGTGTTCACAACATTTTTATCAGGAGTATATTCCGTCTCAGTAAACCATGTTCTTTGTTCATCCATAAAATAACAACTCTTCATCCATTCAAGTTTTATCATGAGATTGCAGCAATTTAGTCATATATTCACATTTTACTTCTAATTCTAGTACTTTTGCGATTTTCACATGTGCAGTGACTTCCTCCACTGAAGTCTTGAGTCCCTCAAAGTCATCCACAAGGGTTGGAATAAACTTCTTCCAAACTCTTGTTAATGTTGGCATTTTGACCTCTTTCCATGAATCACAAATGTTTGCAATAACATTTAGTATGGTGAATTCTTTTCAGAAAGTTTTCAATTTATGTTGCTCAGATCCATTAGAGTAATCTCTATATATGGAAGCTATAGCTTTGCCAAATGCCTTTCTTAAATAACGAAACTCGAAAGTCAAACAATTACTCCGTATTACATAGCTGCAGAATGTATGTTGTGTTAGCAGGCATGAAAAATGAATTTCTTTTTACAGAGCTCTCAGGTAACTAGATTCATTTGCAGTGAGCAGTAATATTTTGCAAGGAATCTTTTCTTTTTGAGCCATAGGTCTCAATAGTGGGCTTAAAATGTTCAGTAAAGCATGCTGTAAATAGATGTGCCATTATCCAGGCTTCATGGCTCCATCATAGAGCAGAGACAGAATAGAATTTGGCATAACTCTTAAGAATTACAGGGTTTTTATTTTTGTAATGGAAAATGTGCATTGGCTTGAACTTAAAGTCACCAACTGCATTATCCCCTAATAGGAGAGTTAGCCTGTCCTTTGAAGCTTTGAAGCCAGGTATGGCTTCTCTTCTCTAGCTATGATAGTCCTAGATGGCATCTTCTTCCAATATAAGGGTGTTTTGTCTACACTGAAACCTATTATTTAGTGTAGCCACCTTCCTCAATGATCTTAGCTAGATTTTATGGATAACTTGCTGCAGCTTCTACATCCACACTCGCTGCTTCACCTTGCACTTTTATGTTAAGGAGATTGTTCCTTTACTTAAACCTCATAAACCCACGTTTGTTAGATACCAACTTTTCTTCTGCAGCTTCTTAACCTCTTTCAGCCTACAAGGAATTAAAGAGAGGTAGGGCCTTGCTCTGGATTAGGATTTGAATTAAAGAAATGTTGTGACTTGTTTGATCTTCCATCCAGATAACTACAAGTTTCTCCATATCAAGAATAAGGCTAGCTCACTTTCTTGTCATTTGTGTTTTCACTGGAGTAGCACTCTTAATGTCCTTCAAGAACTTTTCCTTTGCATTCACAACTTGGCTAACTGTTTGGTGCAAGAGGCCTAGCTTTCAGCCTATCTTGGCTTTTGACATGCCTTCCTTACTAAGCTTAATCATTTCTAGCTTTCGATTTAAAGCGAGATACATGTGACTATTCCTCTTACTTGAACACTTAGAGGCCACTGGAGGATTAGTAGTTGACATAATTTCAATATTGTTGTATCTCAGGGAATAGAAGACCTGAGCAGAGGAAGAGAAATGGGGGGACGACAGGTCAGTGAAGCAGTCAGAACATGCAAAGCATTTATCAATTACGTTTGCCATTGTATATAGGAGCAGTGCATGGAGTCCCAAAACAATTAGAGTAACATCAAAGATCGCTGATAATAGACCACCATAAGTGATATAATAATAATTAAAAGTTTGAAATTTCATGAGAATTACCAATATGTGGCACAGAGACAAAATGTGAACAAGTGCTATTGGAAAAATGACACCAATAGACTTGCTCAATGCAAGGTTGCCACAAACATTTAGTTTGTAAAAAATATAGTATCTGTAAAGTGCAAAGAACAGGGTATGCCTGTATTTTGTTTTTTAATGTTTTCAAATTTATAAGTGAAATTGTTTTGTTAATTTTAATTTCAGATTGCTCACTGCTGTGTATAGAAATATAATTAATTTTTCTATATTGTTCTTATATTCTTCAACTTTATTAATTTTTTTAGCTTTAATGGTTTTATATAGATTCTTTACAATTTTTTTCTGTAGTTTCTTTAAGAATTTTCTCTATATAAGATCATACTATCTGCAAATTGAGATAGTCTTATTTATCTTTTTCAATCTATATGCCTTTTATTTCTATTTCTTGCCTTATTCTGTGGCTAGAGACTGCAATACAATGTTGAATAGACATGGTGAGAGTGAATATCCTTGTCTTATTTCTTATCTCAAGAGGAAAGCTTTCAGTTTTTACCATTGAATATTATGTGATTGGTGGGCTTTATATAGATGTCTTTTATCAGATTGATGAAGTTTTCATCTATGCTTAGTTTGTTTTGTGTATTTACTATGAAAACACATTGTATTTTGTCACATTGTTTTGCTGTATCTATCAAGATGACATTGTGGTTTTTGTGCTTTATTAGTACAATTCATTACATTGATTTTTCTAAGTAAATTCTATTTCTATTATTATTCTTTGTTGTAAAAACTTAATATGCTTAATATGAGACCTACCATCTTACACATTTTTAAGTGCTCAATAGACTAGTGTTGACTGTAGGCACAATGCTGTACAGCAGATCTCTTGAACTTATTCATTTTGCATAACTGAAACTTTAAACCAGTTGAACAGCAACTCTCCATGTCTCTCTCTCTACAGCTCCTGGCGACGACTATTCACTCTCTGTTTCTATGAGTTTGGCTATTTTACATAACTAATATATGTGGAATCATGCAGTGTTTGTCATTGTGTGACTGGCTTTTTTCATTTAGCCAAATGTCCACCAGGTTCATCCAATGTTGTCACATATGGCAAGACTTCTGTCTTTTTTAAGGCTGAATAATATTTTATTGTATTATGTAGCACATTGTATTTATCAATTTCATCCATAAGTTGGCATTTGGGTTATTTCCATGTATTTGTTATTGTGCATAATACTGGTATCAATGTTGGTGTACAAATATCAGTCCAGGTTCCTGCTTTTCATACTTTTGGTTTTATACCCGGAAGTGGAAAGCTGGATCATATGGCTATTTTATGTTTTAAAAATATATTTTGAGGAGCTACCATACTGTTTTCCACATTGAGTGACTGCACAATTTTATATTGCAACTAAAAGTGCACAAGGTTCTAGTTTATCCAAATCCTTATTTCCTATCTCATTCTATGATACCAAAACTTGGCACCAAAACCTGATACCAAAACCTGGCAGAGTTTTCAAAAAGAGAAAACCTCAAGCCAATATCCTTGATAAACATCAAGGCAAAAGTTCTTAACAAAATACTGGCAAACTGAATCCAGCAGCATATTAAAAAGCTACTCCATCATGATAGAGTAGGCGTCATCCACGGATACAAGATTGGTTCAACATATAAAAATCAATAAATGTGTTTCATCACATAAACAGAACTAAAGACAAAAACCACATGATTTGCTAAGTGAGACTAGTGTGAAAAAAAAATCAACAACACACAATTATCTCAACAGAGGCAGAAAAGGCTTTCAATAAAATTCAACACCCCTTCATGTTAAAAACTCTCAATAAACTAGGTATTGAGGGAACATACCTCCAAATAATAAGAGCCACCTATGCTTTCAACATTAGGTCAAATTAGATACAATGAAGGGCTCTCATGCTACAATATAATTAGATTCTAGCTAAATTGACATGTGTTTTGTGCATTGTTGGACTCACAATATGTAAATACTGGTGAAGCACACAAAAAACAAGAAGACAGAAGTAAAGGCAGGTAGGCAGGCAGGAAGGAAGGAAATAGGAAAAAAAAAGAAAGTATGCACAGGATTGAAAGCCAACTATCAAAAATACACATGCAGTCATATGTTTATTGCGGTGCTATTCACAAAAGCAAAAATATGAAATCAACCTAGCTGCCCATCAACAGTGGATTGGATAAAGAAAATGTGCTACATATACAACATGGAATATTACAGAAATAAAAAGAACAATATCATGTCCTTTTCAGTAACGTGGATGGAGCTGGAGGCCAATTATCCTAAACAATCAAATGCAAGAACACAAAACCAAATACCACATATTTTCACTTATAAGTTTGAGCTAAACATTGAATACATATGAATGTAAAGATGGGAACCGAGGGACAGGGGGTGGGCAGAAGAACAGTCTGTTGGGTTCTATGCTTACTTCCTGGGTGTCAATATCACAGGGACGTCTAGCCTCCGAATCACATGATTTACTCATGTAACAAACCTATACATGTACCCTTTAACCTATAATAAAATTTGAAATGTTAAAAAAACTACGAATTTCTAATTTCTCAACATCCTTTCTAATACTTATCTTTTGTATTTTGATGAAACCACACTAGCAGGTGAAAGGTGATATCTCACTGTGGTTATTAATTGCATTTCCTTGTGATTACTGATGTTGACCAACTTTTCATATATCTATTGGCCATTTTTATGTCTGTTTTGGAGAAATAAATAAATAGATATATATATACCTTGACATAGGCTTATTATTAAAAGGTTAGACTTTTGAAATAAAGTTTTTATTTTAAAAGGTACACATAGTTATTCTATGATTTTAGTAATCACTATGTAATGCTATTATCTCAACAAACAGATTTTAAAGAACCAGGATAACTAAATTACAATATTACAAATAATACAACTAAGGCTATTTGATTTTTTGCAGGAATCATAGATTTGATTGTCTTGGATCAGAACATAGCATTTTTCTAAATAGTAATTGCAGATTATATCCTTGCATAATAAATCCTGCTAGTATGATGGGTGACTATGGAAGTCTTGGAAAAAGAATAAGTAAAATGTAATTTAAAAATATTCTGTGTTATGATAGAGAAGAGTCAAGTAAACTGATATTTGTACATTTGTATTCAAATTACTTTATTTTCAATTAGCTTAATCCTGAATATAAACCATGTTATCACTACACTAATGTCATCATATGAACTTATTAGAACAGTTGTATAAATATGACTAAGAGATTATTAATATAGAATTAGCAATAAGTAAGTTTATATTATTTGAGCTCTCATATTTTATGTCTTTTATTTCAATATAATCTCAAATGCTGCCTGTAGAATTTAGCCTTATTAAAAGTACACACACACACACACACACATACACCCCGACACACACAAATCATGGTTCATTTATTGTTTTAAAATGGCTCTTGGTTAAAAGGAAGAGAAATACACTCCGGTTACTTCCAGTCTGTTATATGTGTTATTACTGATTTTCATGCTAACTGTCTAAATAAGGATGTTTGAGAACTATAATAAATCTCGACATCAGGTGCAAATATAAATTTCTCCAAAACAGACATAAATACATTCATTCATTCATTCTGAATGCATTTGTTTAGATAACTGCATTATGTAAGTCACTGGGAAAAAGAATAAAAAAGTATTTAAAATTCCTTATGATGCATTAAATTATAGTTAGATAAATGTATTTACTGTTTACATTGTCATAAACAGAGGAATCTAGATGGTTTCAGTGATGACAATAGATCAGACCTGATCTTGTTATTGTATTATGAGAGTAAATGTTATCAAAGTCTAGTTAGCATTTCATGTGACAGTGATATAACAACAAAAAGAGTTTTCACATGCACGGTTTTATCCGGATCATAATTCCAGTTCTTACTATGATTTCCATTAATTATTTTTATAAATGATGTCTTCTGTACCCTACATTATTTCAGGCGTTGAGAATGTAATGATGAGAGATATTATTCCTGTCCCCAAGGAGCTCACAGAGAATGCAATAATTCTAAAATGCATCTAAAATACAGGTGCTTTTCTTCAGAGTAAAGTTGTGTTTGTTTATGATAAGAGAGCGCTACTGACCTGAAGGTCCTGTCTATATTAATGGGAGTCTCAAATTCAGCATCCACACCTTACTTTGGGCTCAAGTTTTATCTTTTGATCTCTCTACCTGTATTTGAGGCCCTTAAACTGAACCAAATATGAGCTCACAATAAAAAAAAAAAAACAAATGTTCAAACACACAAGGAATCCAACCACCATGAGAGCATCACAGAAACAGCTAAGCATAGATTTAGATCCGTAACTATTCAGACATATAGTTATTTTACACTTTATCTGAGCTGCCTAGGGAATTAAAACATGGAATTAAATTAATAAGCAAGAAACTAGAGATTACTAACATTTCCAAACAGATTTTTAAAGTACCAAATATAATTGTTAGAAATAAATTAACGTAAACATTGAAATGAAAAACTAGATGAATGAGTTAATCAACAGAATAAAACTAAAGAAAGAAGTACTGAACTGAAAAATAAATATGAAAAAATCATCTAGAATGTAGTACAGACAGACAAGGTGACAGAAAAATATGAGAGTTTAAGATGAATGAGGATAGGGAAAAATATAAATGAGGATATGGCAATAAGTTCTAACATTTATCTAGGTGGCAGGAGGGACTAACAAACTTCAGAGAATAGCTTTCATCTTTTTAAATGGAGAAACAATATTTATATATAATACACTGTTTTTATTATATATTTGCTACTCTGCTATCTAGCGTTTGAATTAATTTTTTCTATCTAAATATATGGTTGTACTCATTGTAGCCAACCTCTCTTCATACCCCGCTCCCACCCTAACACCCTTCTCAGCTTCTGGTATCCATCATTTTTCTCTCCACCTCCATGAAATCAACTTTTATATCTCCCACATATGTGTGAGAATATGTGATATTTGTCCTTCTTTGCTGGGATAGTTTCACTAAACATAGTTACCTCCAATTCCATCCATGTTGTGGTAAATAAGATAATTTTATTCTTTCTTTGTGGCCAAATAGTATTCAATTGTGTATTATAGCACATTTTCTTTATCCATTTATCTGGTGAGGGACACTTAGGTTGATTCCCAATCTTTGCTATTCTGAACGGTGCTGCAAAAAACATGTGAGTTGTAGTTATTTGTTTGGTATACTGATTTATTTTTTTCGGATAAATACCTAGTAGTGGCATTCCTGGATAATATGATAGTTCCAGTTTTAGTTTTGTGAGAAATATCCATACTGTTTTCCATAGTAGCTGTACTAATTTATATTCCCACTAACAGTATATGAGTTCCCTTTTCTCCGCATCCTTGCCAGCATCTGTTATTTGTTATCTATTTAATAATAACCATTCTAACTGGGGTAAGAAGGTATCTCATTGTGGTTTTGATTTGCCTACTTTGTGATGTTGAACATTTTTTTCATATATCTGTGGGCTATTTTTACGTCTTCCTTTGAGAAGTGTCTACTCATGCACTTTGCCCACTTTTAACATGATATTTATTATTATTTACTGTGGACTTATTTGAGTTCCTTGTATATTCTGGATATTAATCTCTTGCTGGATGAATAGTTTGCAGGTGTTTTCTCCCATTCAACAGGCTGTCTCTTTACTTTGTTTATTGTTTCCTTTGCTGTGCAAAAAGCCTTTTAGTTTAGTAGAGTCCTATTTGTCTAGTTTTGTTTTTTATCATGTGTGCTTTAGAGGTTTTAGCCATAAAATCGTTGCCTAAATCAAAGCATACCTGAAACATTTCCCCTATGTTTTCTTCTAGTAGTTTTATAGTTTCAGGTCTTACATTAAAGGCTTTAATCCGTCTTGACCTAATTTTTTTTTTTTTTTTTTTTTTGATACAGAGTCTCACTCTGTCGCCCAGGCTGGAGTGCAGTGACGTGATCTCGGCTCACTGCAAGCTCTGCCTCCCAGGTTCACACCATTCTCCTGCCTCAGCCTCCTGAGTAGCTGGGACTACAGGCGCCCGCCACCACACCCGGCTAATTTTTTGTATTTTTAGTAGAGATGGGGTTTCACCATGTTAGCCAGGATGGTCTTGATCTCCTGACCTCGTGATCCACCCGCCTCAGCCTCTCAAAGTGCTGGGATTACAGGCGTGAGCCACCGTGCTCGGCCGACCTGATTTTTTTTATATGGTGAGAGATTTGGGCCTGGTTCCTTTCTCCTTCATAAGGATATCCTATTTTCCCAGCACCATTTATTGAAGAGGATGTCCTTACCCCAATGTATATTCTTGGTGCCTTTGTGAAAAATCAGTTGGCTATAAATGGGTGGATTTATTTTTGGATTCTCTATTCTGTTCCAGTGGTCTTTGTGTCTAATTTTTATACCAAATACCATGCTGTTTTGGCTACTATAGCCTTGTAATATATTTTGAAGTCAGATAGTGTGGTGCCTCCATGTTCATTCTTTTTGCTCAGGAATCCTTTGGCTATTTGGGCTCTTTTTGATTCCATACGAATTTTAGAATTGCTATTCTACTTCCATGAAAAGTGATATTGGTATTTCAATAGAGATTGCATTGAATCTGTAGATTGCTTTGGGCATTATGGTAATTTTAATATTAATTCTTCTGATCCATGAGAACATGATGTCTTTTCATTTTTTTGTGTCCTCTTCAATTTCTCTCATCAGAGTTTTGTAGTTTTTCTTCTAGAGATCTTTCACCCCTTAGGTTAAATTTACTCCTAGGTTTTTTTTTTTTTTTATTTTTGTAGCTATTGCAAATGGGATTGCCTTGTTGATTTCTTTCTCAGCTACTTCTTTATTGTATAGAAATGCTACTTATTTTTGCATGCTAATTTTTATCCTGCAAATTTACTTAATTTATGTATTAGATCTAAGATTTTTTGGTGAAATCTTTAGGTTTTTTGGATATAAGATTATGTCATCTGCAAACAGGGATAATTTAACTCCTTCCTTTTCAATTTGGATGACTTTTATTTCTTTCTTTTATGTAATTGCTCTGGCTAGGATTACCAGTACCATGTTGAATAGACATGCTGAAAGTGGGCATCCTCATCTTATTCCAGCTCATAGAGGAAAGGCTTTCAACTTTTGCAATCAGTATGATGTTAGTTGTGGGTTTGTCATATATGACCTTTATTATGTTGAGTTATGCTACTTTTATACCTTTTTTAAGAGTATTTATTATTATTAAAAGACAGTGAATTTTATCAAATATTTTTTCTGCTATTGAGATGATCATATTTTTTATCCTCATTCTGTTGATGTATTATGTTTACTGATTTGTGTATGTTGAACTATCGTTACATACCTGCAATAAATCTGACTTGATCATGTATTTTTTGATTTTCTGTTTGATTCTGTTTGCTAGTATTTTGTTTAGAATTTTATTTTTTAATTTTTAAGTATTATGGATATATAATAGTTGTACATATATATGAGCTAAATATGATATTTTGATACAAACATTCTGCACCCCTATGTTGATTGTAGCACTATTCATAAGAGCCAAGATGTGGAATCCACCTTGTGATGTTGAGAATTTTTGTGCCTATGTTCATCTGAGATACTGGCCTGTAGTTTTCTTTTTTTGTTGCATACTTGTCTGGTTTTGGTATCAGGCTAATGCTGGCTTTGTAGAATGAGTTAGGGAGAATTTCTTCCAATTTAATTTCTTGAAATAGTTTGAAAAGAATTGGTGTTAATCTTTGGAAAGTTTTATAGAATTCAGCTGTGAAGCCATCTGGTCCTGGACTTTTTTTCTTACTATGCTTTTTATTACTAATTGATATGGTTTGGCTCTGTGTTCCCACCCAAATCTCATCTTGAATTGTAATTCCCATGTGTTGGAGAAGATGCCTGGTGGGAGGTGAATGAATCATAGGGGTGGACTTCTCCCTTGCTATTCTCATAATGGCGTATGAGTTCTCACAAGATCTAGTTGTTTAAAAGTGTGTAGCATTTCCCCCTTCACTTTCTCCTCCTCCTGCTCCAGCCACGTAGGACGTGCTGCTTCCTCTTAGCCTTCCACCATGATTGTAAGTTTCCTGAGCCCTGCCCGAGCCATGCTTCCTGTACAGCCTGCAGAACCATAAGCCAATTTAACCTCTTTTCTTTATAAATCATCCAGCCTCAGGTTGTTCTTTATAGCAGTGTGAGAATTTACTAATACACTAATTCAAACTCATTATTCATTATGGGTCTGTTCAGCTTTTCTATTTCTTTCTGATTCAATTTTGGTAGGCTGTATGTGTCTATAAATTTTTCTATTTTCTCTAGGTTTTTCAGTTTGTTAGTGTGTAGTTGTTCTTAAGCATCTCTGATAATATTTTATATTTCTACATTCTTAATGTTAATATGTCATTTCTCACTTTTATTTTGTTTCTTCGGGTCTTCTCTCTTTTGTTCCTGGTTAATGTAGCAAGTGGTTTATCAATTTTATCATTTCAAAAAACCAACTATGTGTTTTGTTGATTTGGTTTAGTTCTCCTCTGTTCTTTGCTATTTTTTTCTGGTAATTTGGGGTTTGGTTTGTTCTTGCTTCTGTAGTTCCTTGAGGTGTATCAATTAATTGTTTATTTGAAATCTTTCTGCTTTTGGATAAATATGTTTATTGCTATAACTTCTCTCTTAGCACTGCATTTGCTGTATCACACAGGTTTTGGTATGTTGTGTTTCAATTTTCATTTGTTTCAAGATATTTTAAAATTTCCTCCTTAATTTCTTTCTCGACCCAATTGACATTCAGGAGCATGTTGTTTCATTTCCCTGTATTTATTCAGTTTCCAAAAAGTTCATTTTATTATTTATTTTCAGTTTTAATCCATTGTGGTTTGAGAAGATACTTTATATGATTTTGATTTTTAAAAATTTGTTGAGACTTATTTTGTCTTCTCATATATAATCTGTCCTTTGAAATGTTTAATGTGCTGATGAGAAGAATATGCATTCTGTAATTGTTGGATAAAATGTTCTGTAAATGTCTGTTAGGTCTATTTGGTCTAACCTGCAGCTTATTTTATAATTTATAATTTTTGTGAGTACATAGTAGGTACATATATTTATGAAGCACATGAGATATTTTGATACAGGCATGAAATGCATAATAATCACATGATACTATATGGGGTACCCATAACCTCAAACATTTATCCTTTGTATTACAAACAATCCACTCATATTCTTTTAGTTATTTTTAAATGTACAATTAATTTATTATTTACTCTAGTCACCCTTTTGTGCCATCAAATGCTAGGTCTTATTCTTTCTATTTTATTGTACCCATTAAACATGCCCATTTCCCCCATTCCCATGCCCAGACTGTGGTAGACGTCCTTCTCCTGTCTCTATCTATGAGTTCAGTTATCTTAAATTTTACCTCCCACGAATATACTGTGCGGTTTAAATCCAATATTTATTTGTTCATTTTCTGTCTAGGTGATCTGTCTAAGGCTGATTGTGGGTTGCTGAAATCCCTTACTCTTATTGTATTGAAGACTATCTCTGTCTTTAGATATAATATTTGCTTTACATATCTGGGTTCTCTGGTATTGGTTGCATATATGCTTAGAATTTTTAAACATGTTTGCTGAACTTATCCCTTTTTCATTATATATTTACCTTATTTGTCTCTCTCTGTTCTCTCTTTGTTGCTTTTGACTTAAAGTCTGTTTTATCTAAGTATAGCTACTCCTACTTGCTTTTGGTTTTCATCTGCATAGAATATCTTTTTCCATCACTTTACTTTTAGTCTGTGTATGTGTTTACAGGTGAGATGAGTTTCTCATAGGCAGCATATAGTTGTTGTTGTTTGTTTTTTTTTTTTTTAAAAATCCATTCAGCTAGTCTATATCTTTTAAGTGAAAAGTTGAATTCATTTACATTCAAGGTTATTATTGATGTGTGAAGGCTTATTCCTTGCCTTTCATTTATTGATTTCTGGTTGATGGTATACTTTTTATTCCTTTATTTTTCTCTTACAGATATCATTGTGATTTGGTGAATTTCTGCAGTGGTAACATTTGAGTGTTTTCCTTGCTTTTGCACTAGCTCTACCAGTGTATTTTGTAGTTTTGTGTGTTTTCATAATGGTAGATATTCTTCATTCACTTCTGGATGGAGGTCTCCCTTGAGCATTTGTTGTCGGGACAGTATAGTGCCAGTTAATTCCCTCAACTCTTGTTTAGCTGGGAAAAAATTATTTCTTCTTAATATATGAAGTATAACTTTGCTGAGTATAGTATCCTTGAATGGCATTATTTTTCTTTTAGCACTTTGAGTATATCATTTCATTTAATCCTGCCTTGTAAGCTTTTCCATAAGAAGTCATTAGGGTTCCATTATAAGTGACTAGACACTATTCTCCTTCTGTTTTTAGAATTTTATCATTGCTTATGACTTTTGACAGTTTGATGTAATGTGCCATGGAGAACACATTTATGTCTTACATGTATTTGGAGGTCTTTGAGCTTCCTATATCTGTGTGCGCAAGTCTCTTGCTACACTTGGGAAGTTTTCATCTATTATTTAATAAAATAGGTTTTCTAACCCTTTGCTTTTCTCTTTGCCTTCTGGGACATTGAAAATTTGAATATTTGATCATTTTATCATTTCCCATATGCCATATATGCTTTGCTCATACTTTTTCAATTCTTTTTTCTTTATTTTTGTTTGACTGTGTTATTTCAAAATACCTGTCTTCAAGCTCTGAGATTCTTTGTTCTGCTGTAGTCAGTTCATTATTGAAACTTTCAGATGTGTTTTCTATTTCATTCAATGAATTATTCAGTTCCAAAATTACTGTTAGATTTTTTAATCATGTCTATATTTTTGGCAAGTTCCTGTCTCATATTCTGAATTGCTTTTCTGATTTCTTTGTATTTTTTCCAGTATTCCCTTGTATCTCACTGAGCTTCTTTAATATCGATATTTTAAAATATTTTTCCAGGATTTCATAAATTTCTTTTTTATTTGGATCTGTTGCTTAAGAATTATTTTGTTCCTTTGGAGGTGTCATGTATCTTTGCTTTTTCCTCTGTCCTTTTTTTTTTTCCTGTGTCCTTAGGTTGATAGCTGCACATTTGGTGTGAAAGTTGTTTCTTCCAATTTTTTGCTTTAAATTTGCTTTCTTAATGGAGGACTTTTTCCTAAAGATGTTTTTTGGTAATGGTTTGGTAGCGTACTTTGGCTCTGATTTTGGATGCATGCAGTAGTGTAGTTTCTGTGTGATTTTTTTATCAACTGTAAATGGCATCAGCAATATTATTTCTTTTTGCTTTGTTTTTTAATTTTTTATTTTACTTTAAGTTCTGGGATACATGTGCTGAACGTGCAGGTTTGTTACATAGGTATACATGTGCCATGGTGGTTTGCTGCACCTATCAACCCATCATCTAGGTTTTAAGCCCTGCATGCATTAGGTATTTGTCCTAATGCTCTCCCTCCCCTTTCCCCCCATCCCTGACAGGCCCCAGTGTGTGATGTTCCCCTCCCTGTGTCCATGTGTTCTCATTGTTCAATTCCCACTTATGAGTGAGAACATGCGGTGTTTGGTTTTCTGTTCCTGGGTTAGTTTGCTGAGGACGATGGTTTCCAGCTTCATCCATGCCCCTACAAAGGACATGAACTCATTTTTTTAAGTGTGGAAACAACAGATGCTGGCAAGGATTCAGAGAAATAGGGATGCTTTTACCTTGTTGATGGGAGTGCAAATTAGTTCAACCATTGTGGAAGTCAGTGTGGCGATTCCTCAAGGATCTAGAACCAGAGATACCATTTGACCCAGCAATCCCATTACTGGGTATATACCCAAAGGATTATAAGTCATTCAACTGTACAGACCCATGTACATGTATGTTTATTGCAGCACTATTTACAATAGCAAAGACTTGGAACCAACCCAAGTGCCCATCAATTATAGACTGGATAAAGAAAATCCGGCATATAAACAACTATTATTTTATTGGTGGCTTGGGGTGTGGTTGTTAGTGGAGGCTGTGGCGAACTTTTTCTGAAGAGTAGGATACCAAATGAGCAAGTCTTTGAGCCCCAGTGTTGGCAGGAGTAAGTCATGAATGCCTGTTTTGGGCTCCAGTGTGGCATACACTGGCACCATGATAGTGGGTCTAAAAAGGCTGATTCTTGGGCCTCCACGTGGCTTGCTTAGATGCTAGGACTAGAATCAGTGGGCTGGGTGGGTGGGTAATTCAGTTCTTTAGTCCCTAGGCAGTGGTCATTGCACGGTCTGGTCTATTCGAGGGGTGATTATCTACCCACTATTTTGGTTCCTCTCCATGAAAGAGACAAGTACCAGATGCGTCCAGTCAGCCATCTTGAAGCCTTTCAAGAAATTACTTTTAAAGGACTTTGTGTTTGGACTCATACTTGTTAAAGGTCAAAAGAGATCAACAAACAAATAAAAAAAGATTCAAACAATCATAGACATTTAACTGCAAATACATCGAAAGGGAGGAGTGCCTAGGTCAGTTCATTAACTTCCTGCAACAGCTCTCTCAAGTTATTCCCTAAAAAATCACTTAGACTAGTGAAAAAAAAATCTGAAAGACCTTATTATCTCTAATCTGGTATCCACAAGCAGTAATTTTCAAATAATTAGAGCTTTTTGTATAAATTCTTATAATCTTCTGCTCATTAATGGGCATGGAAATGAGGAGAGAAAGGCAATTTTATTCCCCACCCCACCATATTCTCTCTTTAGAGCTTTCCATATGGAAGATATTTTACTAGTCTCTGGAATCAGGCATCCAGCTCCTAGATAATTGGGAAAATTAGGTATTGAGTATTTTTCTTGATAATGAGTAGAAAGATTAGAGATCCATCTGCATGTTGCTAATTCAGAGTAACAAAGGCACAATCTTTGTTAAGATGTCAACACTCCACTTTTTAATTTTTTTAATTTAATTTTTCATTTGTAATTTTTATGGGTACATAGTAGGCATATATATTTATGAGTACATGAGATGTTTTCATACAGACATGCAATGTGAAATAAGCACATGATGGAATATGGGATATCCATCCCCTCAATCATTTATCTTTTGCATTAAAAACAATCCAATTAAATTCTTTATTTTAAAATGTACAATTGCATTATTATTGACTATAGTCACCCTGTTGTGCTATCAAATAGTAGGTCTTATTCCTTCTATTTTTTGTACGCATTAACCATCCCCACATCACCCCCAATACCCCCTACCATTCCCAGCTTCTGGTAACCATTATTTCACTCTCTATGTACATGAGCACAGTTGTTTTTGATTTTTAGATTCCACAAATAAGTGAGAACATGTGACGTTGCTTTCTGTGCCTGGCTTATTTCACTTAACATAATGATCTCCAAATCTTGATGATGCCTGAAAGCTAATGTATTTCACCCCTAGCATATCATACTTTAAAAAAGAATATTCATAACAGCACTATATTTTCCAAAACCTGGAAATTACCCAAATGCCCATGAGCAGTAGAATGAGTAAAAAAATCCAGATATGTTCAAAAAATAGAATGCTATTCAGCAAGGAAATGGAATGATTTACAACCACAAACATTAATGTGTTTGAATCCCACAAATATAATACTGACTGAAAGAAGCTAGACATGAAAATAATTATACTTTATGATTTCAATTATATAGAGTTCAAAAATAGGCAAAACAAATCTATGGTGTTAAAATTTAAGATGACGTTTACTTTTTTTTTGTTTTGTTTTGAGACGGAGTCTCGCTCTGTCTCCCAGGCTGGAGTGCAGTGGTGCGATCTTGGCTCACTGCAACCTCCGCCTCCTGGGTTCCTGACATTCTCCTGCCTCAGCCTCCTGAGTAGCTGGGACTACAGGCTCCCGCCACCACGCCCGGCTGTTTTTTGTATTTTTAGTGGAGTCAGGGTTTCACCGTGTTAGCCAGGATGGTCTCGATCTCCTGACCTCGTGATCCACCTGCCTCGGCCTCCCAGAGTGATGTTTACTCTTAGGACAGATGATGTTCTAATGACAGGAAAGAGGTGTAAGGGGAATTTCTGGTTTTGGGTAATATTCTGTTTGTTGACTGATTGCTGGTTACACAAATATGTCCAATTTGTGAAAATTCATTGACTTGTATACTTATAATTTATGCACTTTTTAATATAAATAATATGTTTCAATAAAGGTATGGAAAAGAGAAGATTAGAAAGACATACACCAAAATGCTAACAGTAAATATCTCTGGTTGCTGTGACCATGGATATTCAGAAACTTTTTTGACCTGTTCTTATGTATTCCAACCTAATAATAATGTTCAGGTCTTGTTATTTAAATCAGAATAAAATATTACAGCTTAAAAATGAATTGAATCTAAATGATCATTCTAATTTTAGATATAAAGGAATAAATATTATAACAAATTTGGGTATAACTACCACAATGTATCCATACAACATCATCCAAGAATAAGATTATATATATGAATTTTCTTTTCCTGTTTTTACATTTCAACATTTATTATAGGTTAAAGGGTACATGTGCAGGTTTGTTACATGGGTAAATTGCGTGGTGCTGAGACCTGGGTTCCCAATGATCGCATCACCTAGTCAGTAAACACGGTACTGAACAAGTGATCCTTCAGCCCATTCCTTCCTCCCTTCCTTTCCCATCTAGTAGTTCCCAGTGTCTGTTGTTCCCATATTTATATTCATGTGCATGCAGTGTTTGGCTCCAACTTATAAGTGTTAACATCGAGTATTTATTTTTTTGTTCTTGCATTAGATCACTTAGGATAATTGCTCCCAGCTCTATCCATGTTGTTGCAAAGGACATAATTTTATTCTTTTTTTATGGCTGGATAGTATCCCACGGTGTGTGTGTACCACATTTTCTTTATCCAGTTGACTGTTGATGGGCACATAGATTGATTACATGTCTCTGCTCTTGTGAATAGTGCTGCAATGAACAAATGGGTGCATGTGCCTTTTTGATAGAAAGAGTTATTTTTCTCTGGGTATATACCCAGCAGTGAGATTACTGGTTCAAATGGTAGTTCTATTTTTAGTTCTTTGTGAAATCTCCAAATTGCCTTCCACAGTGGCTGAACTAATTTGCATTCCCACCAACAGTATATAAGCTTTTCCTTTTATCTACAGCCTCACAAACATATGTTGTTTTTCTACTGTTTAGTAACCACTGTTCTTACTGGTAAGATTATATCCCATTGTGGGTTTGATTTGCATTTTTCCTCATGATAAGTGATGTTGAGCATTTTTTTCATATTTGTTGGATACTTGTATGTCTTCTTTTGAGAAGTGTCTGTTCATGTCCTTTTCCCATTTTTAAGTGGATTTTTTTTGTTTGTTTTTGGCTTGTTGATTTGTTTAAGTTCCTTGTAATTGTGGACCTTTGTCAGATGCATGGTTTGTGAATATTTTTCCCCTTCTGTAGGTTGTCTGTTTACTCCATTGGTAATTTATTTTGCTGGGCATAAGTTCTTTAATTTAATTAGGTGCCACTTGTCAATTTTTGTTTATGTTGCAATTGCTTTGGGGGAACTTAGCCATAAATTTTTTGCCAAATGAAGCCTAGTTTAGGAAGAGTATTTCCTGGGTTTTCTTGTAGGATTTTCATATTTTGAGGATTTAACACTTACATTTTTAATCCATATTGTGTTAACTTTTATATATGGTGAAAAGTAGGGGTCCAATTTCATTCTTCCACATATGGCTAGCCAGTTACCCCAGCACCATTTATTGAATAGGGAGTATTTTTCCTATTGCTTGCTTTTGTCAATTTTGTTGAAGATCAGATGTTTGGAGACGTGAAGCATTATTTCTGGGTTATCTATTCTGTTCCATTGGTCTATATGTATATTTTGTGCCAATACCATGGTGTTTTGCTTAGTGTAGCCTTAGAGTATAGTTTAAAGTCAGGTAATGTGATGCCTCTGGTTTTTTTTGTTGTTGTTTTTTGGTTTTTTTTTTTTTTTTTTTTTTTTTGCTTAGGAATGCTTTGTCTATTTGGGCTTTTTTTGGTTCCAAATGAATGCATTTCTCTTATTCTGTTAAAAATGGCATTTTTTTTTATACCACAGTGTTGAATCCGTAAATTGCTTTGAGCAGTGTAGTCATTTTAACTATATTGATACTTCCAATCCATGAGCATGGAATATTTTTCTACTTATTTGGATTGTCTTTGATTTCTTTCAGCAGTGTTTCATAATTCTCCTTGTAGAGATATTTTACCTCCTTGGTTAGAGTACACCATTCTTGAAACTTATTTCTTCCCTCTATGACTTGGACCAATCCTAATTTTCCCCCTTATTTTCTGACTATTCTTTTTATGTATTTCACCAGTAAGCTTCTCTCCTTTCTTCTCCAAGCCAAGATGTACCCAGAACTCTTTCATCAGAACTGTTGTAAGTACTTTCTTTCTTGGAAATTCTGCCCATGCCCACACCTTTAACTTTCTGATTTCAGTAGATGACTCCTAAATCTAATCATTCCTCTGTTAAAAGTTCGTAAATCGTTCCTAATTGTATTCTGAAATAAATATTTTTATGACCCTGGCATTCAAATTATTAAAATAGTAGTGTGCTATGTTTGTTAACTGGCTCTCCCAACCCAAATAAATACAAAACCCTGATTTGCAGCATTTGCTGAATTCGATGATGTAAGTTTTCCCACCACGGCCAAATTCAAGCTAACAGCGTGATGTCAGTGAATGCAGACATGGGAAGAGATGCTAATAGTAAGCTCTTGCAAGGAGGTGTGAACCAGTTCCAACACATCACTGCTTTAACCACATCTTCAAATTCTCTCTCTAGCCTTGTCTTTTCTTCCTACACCAAACTAGATTAAAAATTGTTTGCTGAATGTGCACCACATTTATGTTTGATACATTGCCATTTCATTCTTGCTATTGACTAAGTTTGAAAAAGTCTTACCCTCAAACCTTATTTATTGAAATCCCAATCAGGCTTTCAAGGCCCAATTACTGGAATATTTTACCAGTATTCATATTTTCTCCATGTTATATTCCTCTGTGAGTTGTTCTTACTAATTTCAAACTTCCCTAGTTTTTCCCGCCAACAAGATTCTAAACATCTTGAGTCCAGGATTTTTTTTTCTTTTTCCTAGTGGCATTCACAGAGTCTTACTTATATCCTTAATACCCACAGTTGAAAGAAATGGATAGCTGATGAGCAAATCAGCCTCTCATTTGCAGCTGTTCAATATGGTTTGATATATTCTAGTGATACATTTAAATTTTCTTTTGCCCCGTTTTGTAAAATAGCAGAAACAAGTTTTTATGAAATTGTCACTCATGTCCTAAATAATCAGTTGTCTAATCTTTTGTATACCTGACCTATATCCAATGATTCACGGCAGTGAACAGTTATCTTTAATAATTTAACATTAGGGATTTAATTGACCATAGAATTTTGCTATTATGGGGAAATCAATATCACTGAGGCTTGAACTTTTGTGCTTTATCTATTCATGGGCTTCATAAGGTGTAAACAGGGGATTAACTCGTTGGCTAGAACCTCTGAAGCAGTATTTGTTTCCTATACTACTGTTAATTTGTATTTTACTTATGGCATTATTTAAACATATGTTCCTCTCTTTCCTTCCTAGTTTGAGCATAATATCACAGAGAAAGAAATGTCCCCAATATCAAATGATATTTGCATTTTCCCTAGAAAGCATCAAGGAAGGAGGGTACCTACCAGAAATGCAGGTTGGTAGGTGGTCTGAGAATGTATTTGCATAATTAATTAGTGTGTATGCTTTTAGACATTTCTACTCAGGTACTATTAACCAAATTATAGAGTGACACGCTGATGTCAACACTTAATTTAGACCTTTTCTGTTATTTGCCACTGTGTATATTCTCTTTGGCAAATTTATATCTCAGCATATCTCAGTTGGTCTAGGCTACCCTTCATTATACTGGATGAATTAGGCAATAAACAAATACACAAAAAATGCTTCATTGGTGAATTCCATTCAAAGAACTAGGTGAGAAAATTGGAGAAGAGAAAGGTTATTGGAATTTGACCACTTTGACACTGCTAATAAGCACAACACCAGAATTTGAACCCAAGTGTTCCAAGTTCTTTCCCCTCTACCACACTGCCTGACCATCTTCATAAAGTATGTTACAGACAATAAGTCTGATGGGGTTTTGTTTGTTTGTTTGTTTGTTGTTTGTTTTTTGTTTGTTTGTTTGTTTGTTTTTACTAAAAAAATGGTTCATTCGCTGGTGGCTTGTAGATGAAATGCCAGGAAAAGTCAGGAGATACAGCTATAGAGAGTTAGTAAGATTCTAACTTGAGTGTTAGCAAGTTCAGGGTAAAGGTTTAATAATATATCTCACAGGTCTTAGAGTACTGTGCTCAAAGCACTGTTTTTGGAAGGTATATCTGTTGGTCATTTGCAGGATAGATTAGAAGAGGAAAAAACTAAAGCTGTGTTTTCTGTGAAAATTGGGATTTGGGGCAAGTTCATGTTTAAGCAAAGTAATTACAATTGAAAATCCTCTTAAAAATAGTATCATATAATTCACAATCAAAAGAATTTACTGTTTTGGATTATTCCCTGTATTGGATTTTCTTTTCTTTGGTATTTTCCCTTTGTGTGGATAATTAAGAATCGGCTTTATAATATATCACAATGAATATTTTCCCTGTAGGTTAGCATATGCAATTCTATTTCTAAGTTACAGATCATATGCAGATTCAAACCAAAGTTAACTATGAATTATCTCATCATGTTTAATAATTCGAAAGCGATTCATGGATTTTTTTGTAGGGCCACTTACACTTATTATCATTGTAATGGTAAAGAGAAAGATTGGGTGTTCAGCAGAATTTCATTATTATTAATGTCAGTGTCCCAAAGTAATTATATTTATTTATTTATTAGCTTTTATTTTAGATTTGGGAAGCATGTGCAGGTTTCTTAAAAGGGTATGTTGCATGTTCCTGTGGTTTGGCCTTTATTGGTCCTGTTACCCAAATAGTGAACATAAAACCCAACAGAAAACTTTTGGTCCTCACCTCCTCTATACTTCCCCTGTTTTGGAGTCCATAGTGTCTATGGTTTTCATCTTTATGTCTGTATGTATTCAAAGTTTAGCTCACTAAACTCTCACTTGTAAGTGAGAACACGCAATATTTGGTTTTCTGTTTCTGTGTTAATTCGCTTAATCCACCAGCACATCAAAAAGTTAATTTGCCATGATAAAGTGTGCTTTATTCCTGGGATGCAAGGTTGATTCAACTATGCAAATCAATAATTTGATTCACTATATGAACAGAATTAAAAACAAAAAAAAAGATCATCTCAATATATGCAGAAAAAGAATTAGATAAAATCCAACGTCCCTTCATTATAAAAATGCTCAACAAATTAGGCATCAAAGGGACATATCTCAAAAAAATAAGAGCCATCTATGACAAATTCACCAACAAAATAGATATCTAGGAATACGTTAACCAACAAGGTAGAAGATCTCTGCAAGGAAAACTACAAAACACTGCTGAGAGAAATCGTGGATGACACAAGTAAACGGAAAAGCATTCCATGCTCATGGATTGAAAGAATATAGAATATGGTTAAAATTCCCATACTACCTAAAGCAATCTACACATCCTGTGCAATCTCTATCAAACTACCACTGTCATTTTGTGCAGAATTAGAAAAAGCTATTCTAAAATTCACATGGAACTAAAAGAGAGCCCAAATAACCAAAGCAATTTTAAACAAAAAGAAAGTTGGAGGTACCACATTACCATTTTTCAAACTGTACTACAACTAATTTTTAGAAAAGTGCTGGGGTATGTATAGGACTAGCTCATCTGAGATGACTTAGAACATTATAATATTACTTTATACTTTTTTTAAATTCTAGGTGCATGTATCTGTAGTCATATAGGCATATAGTCATATAATCATCTAGGAATCAAAGACATAAACCTTTTTATATTCTTCGCAATGTCAGAGTAGGTTGGGATAAAGTTATTTCACCTTAAAAGTCACGTTTATTATTTTAATGACAAAATGCTGTTACTGGTTTTGAAACCTTAAATGATAACAGAAGCTTTGTGAGATTTCTCTGGTGTATCAATGGTACAAAAGTGCAATTATAGGCCAGGCGTGGTGGCTCACACCTGTAATCCCAGCAC
The DNA here is from genome assembly GCF_000001405.40 of Homo sapiens. Taxonomy (NCBI): domain Eukaryota; kingdom Metazoa; phylum Chordata; class Mammalia; order Primates; family Hominidae; genus Homo; species Homo sapiens. The sequence continues at coordinate 86,769,917 of NC_000023.11, forward strand.
TTTGGGAGGCTGAGGCGGGAGGATTGTCTGAGCCCAGGAGTTCGCAACCAGACTGGGCAACATGGCAAGACCCCTTCTCTATAAAAAAAATAAATAAAAAATAAAAAAGATAAGAAAAAAAAGCAAAAAGAAAAGTGCAATTACAATGGCCCTTTAGACTGTCCTCATTTTATATGGAGAATACAGAGTGAAGTCACCAGAAATTTTAAAGCGCACAAAGACATTCATCAATGATGTAATAAGAGCCACTCATTTTTTTTTTTCATTCAAGCACTAATATACCACATATTCATGTAGGTGGGCTATATTTCTACAGCAAAATTATTGTGATGAGTTATACTTGGCTCTAAAAAACCTGTGGAGTCCAAGATAGCATCCTAATTTCAATGTGTTGAAGGATACTTAAGTGCTAGACACCTTAGTTCAGAACATATTTTGAGGAATCATGGAGAGCTCTTGGCTGATTTTGACTTGAGGTAGTTGTCAGCAATTTATTTGACTTCCCTCTGGTTTCTCCATGTCAGATTAGCTCATCTTTCCTAGTCAACTGAAAACATAAAACAAAATACTGCCTTTCCTCCTTGCCCAACTGTCACCTCCAAATTTTACATAAAAGATGCATTTATAAATCTATCAATTCCTTTACTCAGAGATAGCCAGAGTATGTTTCTCACCTGACAGTTTCTATCATTATTTGGTAAAGTGACAAGGTTGAACTTTCAAATATATTTACATTCCTTATTTTTCCGGGGAAAATATCACACTTTGGGCAAATTTTATCTATAACCAAATAATTAATTCAACATTATTTAGTTCTAACATGTTGTGAGGCCTTTGTATATAACAAGCACAGTTAAGATACAGAACATTCCTTGAGGACTATGTTCTTATTTTCAGTTAATGTGGTAACACCTAATACAGTGTCATATGCCCCAATGGTACTTACAAAATGCTATTAAGAAAAGGAATTTATTGAAGCATTCAGTGCCTCCTTCCCAGGAAAAAGATAATATATCACATAAATGTGTGTTTACATCCCATATTTTGTCTACTTTACTTTTGTGGTAGATTTGGGGGGTTTTGGTGACGTTTACCAGGGCATAGTTTTGAAATTGTAAACAAAAATATTCATATCCTTTTCATATGAGTATCACAGAAATCTCACATGGTTTGCTTAAAAGCGAGGCTTGTGCTGACATAATATCCAGGAGTTAGGCTTAGCTCTGCCTATAAGTCAGTTTGCTGATGAGGATACAGAAGTTATTTTTCCACTGCATTTATTTTCTGAGTTTCCTCACTTACTAAATTGATTATTGATGCCTTTCATTTGCCATTGTTCTAAAGTGAGAATGAAAATGATACTCCATGTTTAACTGCATTACTTCTTACTGCTAAAAAAATGTAAAATATATAAATAGACACTAAAAAGGCTTCTTGCATTTCATTAAATTTCAAATTGAAAGAAATGTTTCAAAGATATTTGAATAAGAGTTAGCAATTATGGTTTCCATGGGAAAGGGTGATACTAAAGTTTCTACCATTTTGTTTGCTTTGAAAGATGAGTTTGAAGTTAATACTGATGCTAAAGTATGAAAGTGTTTAAGTGGGAAGATAATGTTAACTCAGCAGTATCATTGCTTTGATCTTTGTTTAATGTCTCACAAAACTAGATTGCTATTTGATTGACAACCTTGTCAAAGAGTGAATGAAGACTGACACCATAATATTGAAAATGCAGCGTTCACAAAACTTGAAACCCAAGTTTTCTCATGACGCTGCTTCTTTTGTGGAAGGCTGCATTTTACATTGTTTTTAAATAAGCGTGTACCCTGCTAGAATACAAGTAAATGTCATGTTTTTTATCTCTCGGTTTCCTGAATTCCATTCACCTCCTTATACACATAGCTTAGGTATGTCCCTATTAGCAAACATTATTGAGAGTTTTTACTTCAAGGAAAACTCAAAAACCAAAGCCTCATCATTCCAGTGTCTGTTCTTTTTCAGAAGATAACTCTGTTTGTGAAATGTTGGTATATCAGTTCAGCGTACTACAAGCTAGGGATTATGCTGTGTAGTTAAGTTGCTAACAGTGCAGAATCTAGAGTGAGACAGAACTGGATTCAATTCTGAGCCTTGCTGTGAATTTGGGCAAGCATCTTTTAACTTTCAATGCCTGTTTCCTTAGCTAGAAAATGTGGGAATGATAGTACCTGTTTTATGATGTTGGTATGAGGAATAAAGGAGATAATTAATGTTAAATGCTTAGCACAGGACTTGGCACCTTTATAACTATTACTATTATTATTGTGCTTAGTATAATATTATGCTTACCAAAACCAACAAAGAATACTTGGAGACTGAATTAGTAGAACAAATAACTATTTGTCTTAGAACATTTAACTGTCCCAATAGCAAGAAGCTTGAAGTCAGTTCCAGTTCCAACTACTCCTGCTGGGTTTACAAACCTAGTTTATTTTTTATTGCTCCCAATTTTAACCTTATAGAAGTATTTATACTGTACCAAGTGCAAAGTACTCATTCATCTTCATTATATATAACTAAGAAAACCATGAAAACTTAGAGATTGTGAAATCATTAAAAGTAACGCATGAGTGTTTTTCCTTTCATCTAGGAATAGTGGAGATAGAATACTGTATTTATCCAGCTTGCAAGTAGGGTAAAAATTTAAAATAAAAGAATGAAAACAAAGAATATTGTGTTTGGGAAGAGTGAGAAACATAAAGGGAAAATGCATTGTCAGAGTTATTATTCCCTTTTTAATTGCCAGAAATATGACAGGGTATATTTCTACTTCCATTGCATAGAACTAGTGTTCCAAAGCGGCTTCCATAGACACACAGTGTGAAATGAAATCTGGGGCTGAATTGCCTCAAGGGAGTCACATCATCATCAGTAAAAGACATTTAGAGAATTCCTAAGCCCCTTGAGGACAGTTTTTTCCTACTATATAAGACAGTCATATTTGTGCTATTATTGTTTTAAAGAAAACATCCTGTAAGCCCACAGACATGGAGCATTCAATCAGGTGCTTCCGTGGAAGTACCTGAACCACACAGATCTATTTCCTGCTTGCCAAGGGCTTAAAATCTGACTGAGGAAACTAAAATTTCTTCCACAAATCCAACCTTAAATTATTTGTAACTAAACCGGTGATTTTCCTAACCTAAGGAACCTGATTAAATTGTGGTCAGTTCACCTCATTTTAATTTTTTAATCCAGTAGAACCTATTTAATGCTCTGTAAAGAAGGTTCCTGTTTTTACTGGCAACGTAGTAGAATCTGAAAGAGTTCCTTATCCTGTTTAAGAAGAAATTGTAAATCTTGGCTAAAGACACAAATGCTTAGGGGAGAATACCTAGGTATTAGCTTAGTTTTCATTGCTTGTATTTCTATGTGGAATTTTGAGAGTAAAATTTAGACATTGGCTTTAGTGCAGCAAAATTAAATTGCTCCTTAAGGAAAAAATTCTGACAGAATGAAGTGTTGAAGACTATTTTATATATAATGCATATACTTCAAGCTTGGTTTAACACAAATCTGATTTTGGCTAAGTATATTTTATTAGTAAATAATTGTTCATTTCCTTCAAAGTATTTTTTACTATGGTGATGTGATCATTTTTACAATTTTATAATTTAAATTTATACCTTTAACTTATAAATATCTACAAGGCAATAATGAGAACAATTCCAAGACCATTATTTTTTTCACTAGTTATGTATTTTGTCTATTGGTTTAGAATTTCAACACATTCACACAGTTACCCATTGGTGGCACTGGGAAAAGGCAATGAAATGCATTGGACTTCAAATTCGCAATCCATCTTTACCACCTCACCACCACCACCACATATCAAAGCCTTTTTGCATCAGCTTTTGTCATTTCCTTTTCCCTTTCTGATCATGCCCATTTAACTTTGTGATTCATTCCTAGCTCTAATCATTGTAGAAAATGTCTAAATTAGGCATTTACAAACTAATGATTTCCCTTCTTTTGGGTATGTACCCAGTAGTGGGATTGCTGAATCACATGGTAGCTTTAATTTTCATTTCTTAAGGAACCTCCAAACTCTTCTCCACGGTGGTTGTACTAATTTACATTCTCACCAACAGTGTACAAAGACTATGTACCCACAAAAATTAAAAATCAAAAATTTAAAAAAAACTAATGAAATTCCCTTTTGAAAACAAATATTCTTCTGGTGTTTCACTTAATAACTCAAGTTTAGAAAAGCTGTTAATTCCCTCCCCTCCAAGAATTATATATGCAAATACAAATAATTCCTATGTAAACAGTAGCTTAAGTATCTTCATCATATTTGGAGCTCAGAACATTTCCTTTAAAAAGAGAAGTCACAGCCCCCCTTTTAAAACATGAACATTAGTTTATTGTTTCCTTTCATCTGTTGAAATAATTACTTTTCTTTTTGCCTTCAATAGTTTGTTCTGGTCATTAAGATTTCTGTAAAATTCAGTTTGAAAGGTGGTTTTAACATTCAGATAGACTGCAGTGCACATTTGGCTATTAAATAGCCAAATCTACTTAAGGCTGAACTAATGTTTAACACTTACAGCTGTTTGAAGTAGTTCACTGCCAAGTTTAATGGTGCTGCCAAGGGAAATGATCATATTACTTGCTGTTATATTTTGGGGGGTTTGTTATTCTAGTAATAAAGACAATCAATGGCATTTCTGAACACAATGGTTCGGATCCTTTACATAGTGCTTTCCCACTACAAGCTGCAAACTATAATTTCAGTGGAAATGGTAAGTGGGAGGCATTAGCTGTGTTTTATTTCACAAAAGTTCATTGAGAAAAGCAATTATATTCATGACAGGATTTATAATTGTGTGTGCCTGCATGTTTGTATACACACGAATGACCATACACTTGTGCGTCAGTGATGAATATAAACTTAGGCAACAGGGCTTTTATTGTATATGGACCTTTCAGAAATCAATCTTATTGTATTATTATCATGTACAAAATAGAATAGGGTAAAACATAATCAACAAATGATTATGGTGAATCTTCCATGTATGCGCTGTTCTAGGTGCTACAGGAATGTAAAGAGGTTAAAGACAGGGCCCTCACTATAGGGACTTTATAGTGTATTTAGGAACAATAAAGACATCAGAAAAGTGAATGTCACAAAGCATTAAAAGATTACTTTGCAAATGACTAGTAAAGGCAATTGATGCTTTAAGAGTAGGCGCAATGGACTGTGTAGTCTCGAAGGGCTTTGTGGAAGAGGTGGGACCTGAGTTAAGTGTTGGAGGAAGAATATGTTGTGTTTAAATAGAGTGAAGATATGAGGTGTTTTAGTTCAGGGGTCCCCAACCTCTGGGCCTTGGACCAGTACAGGTCTGTGGCCTGTTAGGGTCCAGGCTACACAACAGGAGGGGAGCTACAGACAAGGGAGCATTACTCCTCGAGCCCCACCTCCTGTCAGATCAGAAGCGACATTAGATTCTCATAGGAGTGCAAGCCCTATTGTAAACTGCGCATGCGAGGGATCTAGGCTGTGGGCTCCTTACGAGAATCTAACTAATGCCTGATGATCTGAGGTGAAACAGTTTCATCCTGAAACTATTTTCCCCCACTGTCAGTGGGAAAATTGTCTTCCATGAAACCAGTCCCTTTTGCCAAAAAGGTTGGGGACTGCTGTTTTAGGTGACATGAATAAATGTTCAGAGGCTAATAATGTGCTCAGTTCATACTGTTATTAAGCAGAACAAAACAATAGAAATTTAATACCAATATAAAACTTCTTAAGTACTGTGTTTCTACCAGGGAAGTGTTGTATTTGCATTTACATTTTGTTCTTATCTACTCTCTCACATCAAAAATGTTTTTTAAAAAATGTGACAACAATCAAAATCTAATAAGATCTTATCTTGGGCCAGGTATGGCTCTAAGGACTTTACAATTATTAACTCATTTAAACTTCAAATACACATTATCAGGTAGATACTATTGTTAAGTCCATTTTAAAGATGATAAAACTGTGGCATAGAGAGAAGGAATTTGCCCAAGGTCACTCAGTAAGTGGTGGAAACTTAATGTGAACCTAGGCCATCTGACTTCAGAGCCTGCCTGCTTAATAACTATAACATGCTTTTTTCCAGACTATCTGTCATAGGCACTAGATATAGGAGGTAAAGGAAATCACATACTACTTTCATAAAAACTCCAAAAGAGCATGTCTGAATCAGTTTAGACTGCTATAACAAGAATACCATAAACGGAGTGACTTAAACAGCAAACTTTTTATTCTTAGAGTTCTAGAGGCTCAAGAGTCCAAGATTAAGGTGCCGGCAGATTCCATGTCTGGTGAGAGCCTGTTTCCAGGTTTGCTCATTTGGTGGAGAGAGAGAGATATTGAATCTCACTTGTAAGTGCACCAATCTCATCTGAAGCTAATTACTTCCCAAAGGCCCCACCTCCAAATAACATAACATTGGAGATTACGGCTTCAACATATGAATTTTGAGAGAACACTAATATTTATTCCATAGTACCACATATAGTTTAAGTCAACTGAGAATGGTGTACAAATGGGAAAGCTCTGGTTTTCCTTGAACAAGTACACTTTTTAGACTTTAAGAGTTTACCCATTGGTGAAGGAGAATGTCTGGGACAAAAGTTTTTATTATTATTATTATTACATTTTAAGTTCTATGGTACATGCTCACAACGTGCAGGTTTGTTACATATGTATACATGTGCCATGTTGGTGTGCTGCACCCATTAACTCGTCATTTACATTAGGTATATCTCCTAATGCTATCCCTCCCCCATCCCTCCACCCCACAACAGGGCCCAGTGTGTGATGTTCCCCTTCCTGTGTCCAAGTGTTCTCATTGTTTAATTCCCACCTATGAGTGAGAACATGCGGTGTTTGGTTTTTTGTCCTTGCAATAGATTGCTGAGAATGATGGTTTCCAGCTTCATCCATGTCCCGACAAAGGATATGAACTCATTGTTTTTTATGGCTGCATAATATTCCATGGTGTATATGTGCCACATTTTCTTAATCCAGTCTATCATTGTTGGACATTTGGGTTGGTTCCAAGTCTTTGCTATTGTGAATAGTGCTGCAGTAAACATACGTGTGCATGTGTCTTTATAGCAGCATGATTTATAATCCTTTGGGTATATACCCAGCAATGGGATGGCTGGGTCAAATGGTATTTCTAGTTCTACATCCTTGAGGAATCGCCACACTGTCTTCCACAATGGTTGAACTAGTTTACAGTCCCACCAACAGTGTAAAAGTGTTCCTATTTCTCACATCCTCTCCAGCACCTGTTGTTTCCTGACTTTTTAATGATCGCCATTCTAACTGGTGTGAGATGGTATCTCATGGTGGTTTTGATTTGCATTTCTCTGATGGTCAGTGATGATGAGCATTTTTTCATGTATCTGTTGGCTGCATACCTTCACACTTGTCCCTGCACATCAAAAAATCCCTAGAGAAGAGGGTTATCAGTGGTTTCAGGGAGAAAGGAAGCTTACCAAATTTTGAAAATTTATTGGAAGACACACTTCCTGATATTAAGTGACTCTCTATTTTCTGGTTCTGTTTCACATTATGTCCTATATCCTAAAACATCACTGTTTTGTTGAGAATACAAATAACTATACAAATAAATATATATTTTCTATATTTATTTATTCTGCATTTATAACATTCATGTCATTTAAATAGCTTAAATAAATCCCCTACTAGGTGATTTTTGTCTCTCTCTAAATAAAAATGTTATATTTAAATAGGTTACTAAGAAAATTTTCAGTTTTCCTTTCTGAAATAAATAGTTCGTCAACACCACTTTCTGCTGTCATCCCTTGCCACATTCCTTTGACTGTATAAACTGTGATCTGCAACTTTAATGACAATAGTATCTATTTTAGTATAAATAAAAATAGGCAATGTCTATCAAGATGCCCCAGGTAACATATATACATTTCATTTAAAGTTTTTTAAAGGGGGAATTAAAATAAAAAAATATGGATTTGAGTAACCTTTAATTTATATGCATCATCAAATAGTCATTAAGCATGGTGTACAAAGACATCAAAAGTATAATCCATTCATTTGTAGATGGCCAATTAGGTTGATTCCATATATTTGCTATTGTGAATAGTGCTGCAGCAAACCTGGGTGTGCAGATGTCTCTTTGATATACTGATTTCATTTCCTTTGCATATATACCCAGTATTGGTATAGCTGGATCATATGGTAGTTTTATTTTTATTTTTTTGAGATCCCTCCATACTGTTTTCCATAATGGCTGTACTGATTTACATTCCCATCAACAGAGTATTAGAGTATCCCTTTCTCCACATCCTTGCCAGCATTTATTATTAATATTTTGTCTTTTTGATAATAGCCCTTCTAACTGGGGTGAGGTGATATCTCATTGTAGTTTTTGTCTGCATTTATCTGATGATTAGTGATATTGAGCCAAAAATGGAAGAATGGTTTCTTCAGTAAGTTTAGAAATAAGTCAAACACATGCAATGTTAGGTAGTAATAAAACAACTAACTACTAGTTTAGGACTATAGAAAAGAAAGTCACAGCCCAATATATGAATTATTAAATGAATACTATTCTCTGTAAATGCCACAGACATTCATTATGCCCCGAGAAACTAGAACCTTAATAATATTTTCTTTTTCTTTTTTTTGAGACAGAGTCTCACTCTGTCACCCAGGTGGCAGTGCAGTGGCGTGATCTCAGCTCACTGCAACCTCTGCTGTCTGGGTTCAAGCGGTTCTCCTGCCTCAGGCTCCCAAGTAGCTGGGTTTACAGGCACCTGCCACTGCACCCAACTAATTTTTGTTTTTTTAGTAGAGACGGGGTTTCACCATCTTGGCCAGGCTGGTCTTGAACTCCTGAACTGGTGATCTACCCGCCTTGGCCTCCCAAAGTGCTATTACAGGTGTGAGCCACCATGCCTCGCCAATATTTTCATTTTTATTTCAACCATTTCACAAACATTTATTGACATTTTACTATGTGCCAGGGGGTATTCTAGATGCTAAATATACACCAGTAAATAAAAGAGACAAAATTGCCTGCTCTTATGGAGACTATATTAGTTGGAGGAAATAGGTAATGAGGCTAATAATAAATATGTATATACACATATATAATGTTATGTTTGCATATTAATGTCTATTACCTATTTATTTAATGTTACATTGTAATAAGTGTTATGGAAATAATAGACCAGAAAAGAGGGATGGTCTGTGTTAGTGGAGACTAAAGACATTCTATTTAAAATAAGGTGACCATAAAAGGTATCATAGAAGGCAATATTTGTATAGTAGATGAGGGAGCTAACCATGCTGCTGTCTGAGGACAGATCATTATAGCCAGAGACAACAGTAAATATAAATACCTTGATTGAGTGTGGCTGAGGCAAAGGGAATGAAAGGGAATGTAGTAGACGATACAATCAGAGAATTAAAGGGGTCCAGATCATGTAAGACTTTATAGGCTATTTTAAGGATTTAAAATTGAAGCTTCTGAGAAGATAGGAAGCCTCTGGAGATGGAAAGCCACTGAAGGATTCTGAACAGAAAAGAGATATAACCTGATTTATGTCTCAAAGTATCACTCTAGATACTGGTAAATAACACACTGGAGGGGAGCAGAAACTGAGGCAGAAACAATAGTCAAATTACAACTGCAGTAATGTGATGTGAGAGTTGCAGTGCCTTGGATCAGGGTAGCAGCAATGGAAGTGGTGAAAAGTGGCCTGATTCTGGATATATTTTGAATGTAGAGACAAAACAGTTTACTGAGGGATTTGTTAGTTCATGTGAGAGGAAAACAGAAGATGAGGTTGGCTCCAAAGTTATTTTATTCTCAGCATTTCATTGCTAGTACCAATATGGAAAGTTTGGCTGCTGGCATGTATATGCAAGCATGCATCCCACTGCCACTGCCCCAATAAAGCACTTTGGCTGGCACCAGCCATTAGGTTGTTGCTGCTCATGGACTAGGAACATCTCATCCTCCCAAGTGCAGCAGTTTTCTAACCTTGAGAGGCCAGAAAACAAAGCTGGGAGTCTGATACCCATCCCCCAGGGTTAGACCACACAGCCCAGAAGTGATTAAGCTGAGCCCTCACCCCCTGAAATCTTCCAGAAATGAAACCAGTTGACTGAACCCTACTTACGCCACAATGAACTTCTCAAGGGCATCAAAGAATATAAATACCAAAAAAAAAAAAAAAACCCACCCAAAGGACAGCAACTACAAATATTAAAGAAACATCAGCCCACACAAATGAGAAAGAAACAGCACCAGAATTCTGGCAACTCAAAAACCCAGAGTGTCTGCTTACCTCAAAACAACCACACTAGTTCCCCAGAAATAGTTTTAGACCAGGCTGAAATGGCTGAAATGACCAACATAGTATTCAGAATATGGATGGGGATCAAGATTCAGGAGAAAGTCAAAACCCAATCCAAAGAATCTAAGGAATACAATAAAAATATACAAGAGATGAAATGCAAAATAGCCGTTTTAAGAAGGAACCAGACAGATCTCTTAGAGCTGGAAAATTTACAACAATATTTAACAGCATTGTTACATTTAACAACATTAAATGTAGAGTCCCTACTTCGTGGGCACAAATCAATAAATTCAGCCTGATCCAACACTATATTCCTTCCCACTATCCCACACCCTTAATATTCACTCCCTTGCCTGTTCTCCAGATTTCTGTTTATATAAATTAGAAAACCCAAGCAGTTCTTTTCGAGTGTAGCACACCTCCTCATGGGTCACACTCTCAACCTCATCCCTAGGTGTCCACCAGGACTTTAGTCTAGTTATAGGTTTAGAAGCAAACAGGCTTGTTGGGGATCGCTCCTGAGGAGAATCAACATTATCTTGCCTGGTGCCTGCCTCAGGGGAGGCCATAATTGTTGCCTTAGGCAGTGCAGGGTTTATCTCCTCAAACAAAGGTGGAAAGGCTGATGGCAGCATGGGTTAGGGAGGGGATGTTGCCACTACTGGGGATGGGGAGGCTGTTTCTTTTGGCAAGAAAGGTTCATCAGAGTTTATAAACTCAGTGTTTCAGCTTCATCACGGTTCTCCCACGCATCCCCGTTCCAAGTTTCAGGGTCCTATTCTTTTCCAATCAATGCCCTCACTTTATCAGTAGACACCTGGCAAGGCTGTGCATGCACTTTTCATTGCAGGTCAGCCACTTGCATAATAAGAGCTTGTGTTTGTTTTTCCACAATTTCAGCTCTTTCTCTACAGGAGCCGAGACTCTCACTCAGGGCGATCTTAGCAGATTTGAGGCTCAGTATCTCCTTCTGAAGCCGGGAGATAGAATCCTTTAGTTCATCATTTTCTTTCATCACTTTGTCCACTTAAGAGCAACCAACCAGCTTCATTATGTTCCTTGGTTCTCCATATATGGTCAAAGTATTATGTATAGAGTCACTAAATTCCTTGCTTCTCACAAGTAGTGAATCAGGAGTGTCAAATGCATTTATTTTGCATAACTTTCTAAACAGTTCACCCCAAGAACTATCAGCGTTCTCCATACTATTAAAAGTAAAATCTTTAGCATTTGGGGGTCTAATCATATTAAGCAGCCAACTGTAGAAACCCCAAAACCAATGAAAGAACTCCATTCTTAATATTCTGTTCCTCTAGAACCACTCCTGGTACCAAAATCTGTACTAGTCAGGGTTCTCTAGAAGGACAGAACTAATGGAATATATATATGGGGATTTTATGCAGACCCACAGCTAGTATCACACTGAAAGGGGAAAACATGAAAGCTTTTCTTCTAAGATCTGGAACATGACAAGGATGCCCACTTCACCATTGTTACTCAACATGGTACTGGAAGTCCTAGCTAGAAAAATCAGACAAAAGAAAGATATAAAGGGCATCCATATTGGAAAGAAATAAGTCAAAGTATCCTTGTTTGCAAATGATATGGTCTTATATTTGGAAAATTTTAAAGACTCCACAAGAAAACTATTAGAACTGATAAACAAATTCAGTAAAGTTGCAGTATACAAAGTAAACAAACAAAAAGCAGTAGCGTTTCTATAGGCTAACAGTGAACAATGTGAAAAAGAAATCAAAAAAGATATCTCATTATCAATATCACAATAGTGACACATAAAATTCAATGCCTAGTAATTAACCACAAAAATGAAAGATTTGTATAACGAAAAGTATCAAATGCTGATGAAGAAAATTTAAGAGGACACTAAAAAGTGGGAAAATGTTCTATGTTCATGGATTGAAAGAATCAATATTGTTAAAATGTCCATACTACCCAAAGTAATCTATAAATTCAATGCAATCTGTATTAAAATACCAATGACATTGTTCACAAAATTAGAAAACACAATCCTCAAATTTATATGGAAACACAAAAGACCCAGAATGGCCGAAGTTACAAACCAGTTACTCTCTTTAAGTTACTTTAAAATTTACAATTAAGTTTGTAAGAACTTAATTGTAAGCAATTAAGCAAAAAGAACAGAACTGGTGGAATCACATTGCCTGACTTTCAATAATACCACAGAGCTATAGTGTCCAAAACAGAATGGTACTGGCATAAAAATAGACACATAAACCAATGGAACTGAATAGAAAACCCAGAAACAAATTCACACACCTACAGCCAATTTATTTTTGACAAAGTTACCAACAGCATACACTGGGTAAAACACATTCTTTTCAATAAATGGTGTTGGGAAAACTGAATATCCATATGCAGAAGAATGAAATATCAGACCAATGTCTCTCACCATACACAAAAATCAGATCAAAATGGATTGAAAGACAGAAATCTAAGACCTCAAACTATGAAACTACTACAGGAGAGCTTTGGAGAAAATCTCCAGGACATTGTTCTTGGCAAAAATTTCTTGAGCAATACCCCACAACCACAGGCAATCAAAGGAAAAAAAAAATGGACAAGTGGGATTATATCAAATTAAAAAGCTGCTGCATGGCAAAGAATACAATCAAAAAAGTGAAGCGACATCCCACAGAATGGGAGAAAATATTTGGAAACTACCCATCTGGCAAGGGATTAATAACCAGAATATATAATAAACTCAAACAACTGTATAGGAAAAAAATCTTATAATCTGATCAAAGAAAGGGCAAAAGATTTGAACAGACATTTCTCAAAAGAAGACATGCAAATAGCAAACAGACACATGAAAAAGTTCTCAACATCATTGATCATCAGAGAAATGCAAATCAAAACTACAATGAGATAGCTTCTCACCACAATTAAAATGGCTTATATCCAAAAGATAGGCAATAACAAATGCTGGCAAGTTTGTGAAGAAAAGGGACCCCTCGTAAACTGTTGGTGGGAATGTAAATTAGTACAAACACTGTGGAGAACAATTTGGAGATTCCTGAAAATCTAAATTGAGTTACCATATGATCCAGCAGTCCTGCTGCTGGGTATATACCCAAAAGAAATGAATCCAGTAAATCGAAGAGATAGCTGCACTCCTACGTTTTTTGCAGCACTGTTTACAGTAGCTAAGATTTGTATGTAATCTAAGTATCCACCAACAGAAGAATGGATGAAGAAAATGTGGTGCATATACACAATGGATTACTATTCAGCTATGATAAGGAATGAGATCTTGTCATTTGCAACAGCATGGATGGAACTGGAATTTATCATTTTAAGTGAAATAAGTCAGACACAGAACAAAAAACTTTCCAACAACATGGATCAAATTGGAGATCATTACCTTAAGTGAAATTAGCCAGTCACAGAAAGTCAAACATAGCATATTCTCACTTATTTTGGGGATCTAAAGATCAAAACAATTGAACTCATAGACATACAGAATAGAAAGAAGGCTACCAGAGGGTGATAAGGGTAGTGGGAGGGTCAGGGGAGGGAGTTGGTGATGGTTAGTGGGTACAAAGTATAGATAGAAAGAATGAATAAGACCTACTATTTGATAGCACAACAAGATGACTATTGTCAATAATAACTTAATTGTAAATTTTAAAGTAACTTAAAGAGAGTAACTGGTTTGTAACTCGAAGGGTAAGTGCTTGAGGGGATGGATACCTCATTCTCCATGATGTGCTTATTTCATTACATACTTTTATTAAATCATCCCATGTACCCCACAAATATATACACCTACAATGTACGGATAAAAGATAAAAATTAAAAAAAAAACTAAAAAGGAAACAATCTACAAAGTAAACAGACAGCCTACATAATGGGAGAAAATATTTGCAAAGTATGCATCTGACAAAAATTTAATATCTAGAATCTATAAGGAATGTAAACAGATTAAGAAACCAAAAACAAACATCCCCAACAAAAAGTAAGCAAAGGACCTGAACAGACGTCTTTCAAAAGGAGACATACCCACAGACAACATACATATGAAAAAAAAATGCTCAACACCATCAATTATTAGAGAAATGCAAGTCAAAATCACAATGAGACACCATCTCACACCAGTCAAAATGGCTATCAATAAAAAATCAAAAATAACAGATGCTGGTGAAGCTGCGGAGAAAAAGGAACACTTATACACTGCTGGTGGGAATTTAAACTAGTTCAGCCACTGTGGAAAGCAGTTTGGTGATTTCTCAAAGAACTTAAAACAGAATTACCATTCAACCCAACAATCTCATTATTGGATATATGGCCAAAGGACTATAAATCAGTCTATCATAAAGACACATGAGTGCATATGTTCCTTGCAGGACTTTCACAATAGCAAAGACATGGAATCGACAGAAATGCTCATCAGTGATAGACTGGATAAAGAATATGCAGTAAATATATAGCAGAGAATACTTCACAGCCACAAAAGTAATGAGATCATATTCTTTGTAGCAACATGGATGGAGCTGGAGGCCATTATCCTAAGCAAACTAATGCAGGAACATAAAACCAAATACTGCATGTTCTCACTAATAAGTTGGAGCTAAACCCTGAGTACACAAGGACACAAAGAAGGGAACAGCAGACACCAGTGCCTGCTAGAGGGTGGAGGGTGGGAGGAGAGAGATGATCAAAAAACTACATATCTGGTATTATGTTTATCTAGTGAGGGGTGAAATCATCTGCACTCCAAACCCCCATGACATGCAATTTACCTGTATACCAAACCTGCACATGTACCCCTGAACCTAAAATAAAAGGTTTTCAAAAACAAAGAAATAAAAGTCTCTAGAAGGAGAATTTAGGTAGGGGAGATGATCATGCAAATTTTGAGGTACTTGTAAGACATCCACTGAAGATGTTGCGTAAGCAGTGAAATATACAGTCTGAAATCTAGGAGAGAGGTACAGGCTGGAGGTATAAATTTGGGAATAATAAGCCTATAGATTGTGTTTAAAGTCATGAAATTGGACAGAATCACCAAAGCAGTGATTAAAAAAGAAAAGAAGCCCAAGGATTTAGCCCTCAGACATTCCAATGTAGGCTTGACAGATGAAGAGGAACTTCTGAAGGAAACTGTCAAGGAGGAGTAAATGATGTAGGAAGAAAACTAAGAGAATTGACCTTTGGACTTAGAAATATGAATAACTGGCCACCTTTATAAGAATAGGATCTTTGGACAGATGGGACAAAAGCTTAATTGAAGTAAGTTCACAAGAAAGTCAAGTAAGTATAGGCAACTCTTTCTGGGAGTTTTGCTACAAAATGTAAGAAGAGGAGTGGTGTGGTAGTCGGGCAGCATATGGTCAAGAAAAATCATTTTTAATATGTGAAAACCTTAGGAGCATAATTCATCAAGTCAACAAGACCACAGGTATAATTGTGGAGATGAAGTTTGAAAAATGGAGAATTCTAAAGGCATTGCTTCCTATATGCTACATATATGCCATGTATGTTTCATTTTTGCTTCCCCCCTAAATTACAATTCAAAGAATATTCTTCTCATAAGTTTCAACAAAAGGACAACCTAAGATAACTAGCTCTCAAACATGGCCAGAAACAAGATTTGATGATTCCTATCTCAGAATTCGACAATCATATCACAAGAAGAAACTCTCTATAGGAATATACAGGAATCTATAACGTTATACATGAGAAGCCATGAAGAAAAGAAATTGGAATACTGCTCCTTTCTTCCATAATACTAAATATAGACCATAGTGACCCCCTAACACCACCCCCACTATATATACTCTGAAGAAAGGTTGGAGACAGAAGGCAGAGTGGAAGACAGTCAGATAGATAACCATTTTGCAGTGGGGTGACAGAATTGAAATAAACAAAATGTGCATCTTGGCACTATTTCCTCTCCCTTCAAACTGGAGCACTGAGAGCAGTACCAGAAGTTCTTGCAATATTAAGTAGTAGAGTGGAGATGCACATGCACTTATGACCTAAAGAGCAACCTGCTGCCCATTAGATTATCAGTGCTTGTTAATGATTATATCACAGTTGATACCTGCAACCTGCAGATACCAAGCCACGAGCCATATGCCTTTGTGTCATGGTTATCATCACAATAAGGAGACAGCCAAACTATTACTCTAAATGATGAATAAGAAAGTGGATAGAAGCAGCATGTCCAAATTGGTCTGATGAAAATTCTTACTGATTTTGTCATAAAAGATAAAGAAAATGGTAGCAACTCAAACATTCACAGTAGTGCTGGTTAAATTATTTACAAAGTGCTTATAAATAATTCTACATAACATTTTTCTGTTAAGATTTTATTTGCCAATTCCAGCATGATAATTTGGCTGCTGGATTGGGAAAATATTTCTAATTTAATGAACAGGAGCCATGAACAAATTTAAGATTACTGCAGTAAAAAATATTTTCCTCCAAAAATAATTTTGTTCATCATCATTGCTGATATGGTTTGGCTGTGTCCCCACCCAGATCTCATCTTGAATCCCCATGTATTGTGAGAGTGACCCAGTGGGAGGTAATTGAGCCATCAGGGCAGGTCTTTCTAGTGCTTTTCTCATGATAGAGAATAAGTCTCATGAGATCTGATGGTTTTATAAGGGGGAGTCTCCCTGCACAAACTCTCTCTTTGCCTCCTGCCATCCATGTAAGATGTGGCTTGCTCCTCCTTGCCTTCTGTCATGATTGTGAGGCCTCCCCAGTCATGTGGAACTGTAAGTCCATTAAACCTCTTTCTTTGGTAAATTGCTTACTCTTGGGTATGTCTTTATCAGTAGCATGAAAACGGACTAATACAATTGCCTTTAAAGAGGGATTGAAAAATAAATCTTTAAAAAAATAGCACCAAATTTTAGTGTCAACATAGAAGCATGTTTCTAGAGTTTTAAATGGAAAATAATAATTTTGTGCTGACACTTTTGAGTGAAAATTAAAAGATCCAGTTTACTCTCTCAGGGCTAGAAAATGAAACAGCACATCCAGGGGTGGTGGCTCAGGCCTATAATTCCAGCACTTTGGGAGGCCAAGGAGGTTGGATCACCTGAGGAGTTTGAGACCAGCCTGGCTAACATGGCAGAACCCTGTCTCTACTAAAAAATACAAAAAAATTAGCCAGGCAAGGTGGCATGCACCTGCAATTCTAGTTACTCAGAAGGCTGAGGCAAAAGAGTCTCTTGAACCCAGGAGGCGGAGGTTGCAGTGAGCCGAGATCGCACCATTGCACTCCATCCTGGGCAACAAGAGTGAAACTCAGTCTCAAAAAAAAAAAAAAAAAAGAAAAGAAAATGAGTCAGCACTTATTTTCCAGTGTGAAATAAATGTAGATGCACTGGCCAGAATGTGAAACATAAATAGGGTTTTTTACTCCAAAGCACAACACTGTAATGCAACTTGTTATTTTGTTAGCTGCAGAAAATCCATATGTGTCTGAGCAACCTCAATTCTTTCCTCCTCCAAAGAAATAATTGTACTGAGGAGAATAAGGCAGAGAGAGAGGAGATATCAAAGCAAGTTTTAGAGAAGAAGTGAAAATTTATTAAAAAGTGTTAGAGCAGGAGTAAAAGGAAGTAAAGTGCACTTGGAAGAGGGCCAAGCGGGCAACTTGAGAGATTCGAGTGCACTACTTGACCTTTTGACTTGGGGTTTTATATGTTAGCATGCTTCCAGGGTCTGTGTCTTATTGTTCCCTTGCGGTGGGCTGTCTGCATAGGTAGTGGCCTGCTAGCACTTGGGAGGGGCCGCATGCGCAGTTTACTGAAGTTGTCAGCATGCTTACTTGAGATGTTTTTTCCTTATCAGTCGAGTATTCCTATAGGAAGATCATATACCAGTTAAACTCTGCCATTTTGCTTGCCTCTTAGTGTGCATGCTTAAGCTTACTCGCCCAGCTCCTGAGATCTCACTGGGAAGCTGCTGATCACCGGCTTCAGGTGTTTTCTATCTATTGGGAGACTGACTTTCCCTGGTGCTAGCTGCAACCAATTACTATTTTAGAGAGACAGCTTAACAACCACCTGACCACCACTTTATGGTTGCCTGACATTCCTGGTGGGGTGTGGGTCTCTTGCCTGTTCATTTCCACCTAACTACCTACTCTAATTTGAGACCCCATGTATGCAATTGAATTTTCTTCTACATGTTGCATGTCTTTTCACAATCATTGGACTGCAATGATATGCAAAACATTATTTGTAATCATACCACTTTCTCACTTTTTCTTCTCCATGATGATTTCTTTTATTTTGACTGATAATAGCCACACTTCAACCTAATGAGGATTTCTCCTTTCCCTTATTGTTACTGAATGGAGATTTTTCTCACACCAATGGCTGAATTGCAGAGTAAAGAGGAAAACAACTGCTCAGAAACTATCAGCCAGGAAACGAAACCTTATTTATATTCACATTACATAGAAGACACATTTAAGTCACTGGAAACTCACTTTAAGTTTCTCTTTTTTTAACCTCCTTGATAAAATACCAACTTAAATTTAAAGTTGAATGGGGCTCTAAGAATATTTAGAAGTTATTTGTTTGTTTTAAATAGGCTGGCCCTACTCCTAAGGTACATCTAAGTACACTTTCTCCTGATTTGTCCTTACTTATACGGTTAGCTTTCCACTTTTTGAGAATTTCAAGAGGTATTTTTAAAATCCGTATGTCTACATCTTAAGAGGTTTTTATTTCCCCCTCAGACAAACCTTTATTCTCAATTTATATTACTCTAGACCATTTTACTATGAATGTAAAAATTGTGTAACTATGATTACTGATTCATGAAATAAGAATA
This sequence comes from Homo sapiens, assembly GCF_000001405.40. NCBI lineage: Eukaryota > Metazoa > Chordata > Mammalia > Primates > Hominidae > Homo > Homo sapiens. The sequence continues at coordinate 86,789,150 of NC_000023.11, forward strand.
AAAGTTGTGATTTGTTATTACAAATGGTTAAATTGTAGAGGCTTCTTTGTGGTTTCAGTAATGGAAAAGGACAGCAGCTCCCATGAGGTAATTTTATCTTCCTTGTGAAAGAAGGGAATCACCCTTGTCTCTGATGGAATTTTTGTGTGGCTTTCCAGCAACAGGTATTCAATCTTTTAGGTTAGATCTTTAAAGGATGATTGAATATTTGGATAGTGTTTAGTTTGCATGGCTAACACAAATACATTTACCCTAACTTTTAGGTTGCAACAACCTCTTGAAACCATTAAAACCCAAAAGGTTGCATCTGGTATCAATAATTTTTTTAAAAATTCCAAAAACAATAAATGGAGTCTATTTCAAATGCTCTATACAATTTATAAAACATATCCCTGTCTTTTAATTATTTTCAGTGAAAATGTTCTAAATCATTGTGTTTATTCAAAAGGTGTGAAAAGGAGTCTGCCATCTTTTAAGCCCTAGATAACATGATATAGCTCTACCTTGGTTCTAATAAATGAATTTGAGCAAAGTATAAGATATGGCCATGTGCATAACACTGAAGGGAGATAAGAAGATAAAATGTAGTTAAACACTATACATTTGTGTGTAATGCATTTTCTGTGTATGGAGATGCTACAGCATAGAGGTAACATTTTTGCATATAAAATATGATGCCAAAAGGACTCATAAAACTACCTGTTTGTCAAGTCAATAGAAATAGATGTCACCTATTTCCCTAATGATGTACATTTTGACAAAGGTGGAGGAATGGAATTAACCAAAGGAAAATTACAATGAATAATTGATTTTCTCGGTTGTAATTCAATTTTAGATAATACTTCAGTACTATGAAAATTATTTTATTTTGCCTAGAAAAATATTTCACATGTGTACTGTGTTTCTTGGTAGAAATGGAGAGAGTAGCTTTACGTTTTATATGCACTTGACTATCATACACATGTATGCACACACACAGAGATTTGTCATTAAAATTGAATTGGACAATCAATTCAATCTGAAAAGATGTCAACTTTGCAAGATAATTGATTTGGTTTCTTTTTGTTTGAATTTACTAAATGTTCTACACCCAAATGATTCAACAATAAGGGTCAATATAGTCGTATGCATAGACACAGCTCAAGTTGTATACAGCTATGGCTAGTCTTTTTTGAAAGTACAGCATTCAGTATTAAATTATATTTGTTGTATGTAATAAAGAACAAGTACACAAGAGATTAGAATCCACAAATTTAAAATTCTGTTTTTCTAAATATTATAACTTAAATAGAATAAATCCACTTTACATTGTAAATACCATTGACTCTTGAACAATGCAGAAGTTGGGGCAGTAACCACCACCTGCCTCCAGTCAAAAATTCACATATAACTCTTTGTTTATTTGTTTGTTTTAAGCAACAGTGTCTTGTTCTGTTGCCCAGGCTGGAGTACAGTGATGCAATCATATCTCACTGCCACCTCAACCTCCTGGGCTCAAGGAATCTTCCACCTTAGCCTCCCAAGTAGCTGGGACTACTGATGTGTACCACTATGGCTGGATAATTTAAAAAATGTAGAGACAGGGTCTTGCTATGTTACCCAGCCTGGTCTAGAATTCATGGCTAAAAGCGATCCTCCTGCCTCAGCCTCCCAAAGTTCTTGGATTACAGACATGAGCCACCATGCCTGGCCACATGTATAACTTTTGACTCTCCAAAAACTTAAAACTACTGATAGCCTGCTGTTGACTGGAAACTTTATTGATAATGTAAATTTTCAATTAACATATATCGTATGTTACATGTATTATATACTGCATTCTTACAATACAGTAAGCTAGAAAAAAGAAAATGTTATTAAGCAAATTATAAGGAACAGAGGATATATTTTCTGTTTATTAAATGAAAGTATATAATCATAAAGGTCTTCAACCTTACTGTCTCCATGTTGAGTAGGCTGAGAAGGAGGAAGAGGACTGGTTAGTCTTGTTGTCTCAGGGGTGGCAGTGGTGGAAGAAAATTTGTGTAAGTGGACCTGCACAGTTCAAACCCATATTGTTCAAGGGTCAGCTGTAGTATGTTGTTACTAAGGACATAAAACAATTTGGTAATTAACTCTCAGAGAGTAAGAACCTAGTTCACACTAAGCATAGAACACTACTTAAAGAAATGATCTCCAGGAATGCTAGAAGAATCATACAACACTTCTTTTCCACTTACAGAAACCCATTCATTTTGAATTTAGGGAATATTCATTTGATAAGCAGTGAATCAATACCTCAAATCCTCTTCTAATTACTGGCTTTCTGACCACTAGACATATTTACAATATTGAACAATCCCACTTCAACCACATTCAACAGAATGAATGTTAACCTGTTGAGTGCTCTTTCCTTAAATTAAGAATCATGGGAAGTTTCTAGGAATTCAGTCTAGGAATCCATTTACCTTTAGGCTTTTGTGTTTTAAGCCTTAATATGTGCTCTCTAGGAAGCTCTAGCTTATTTCAAATGTTCATATGACTTTCTGTCATATGTAATTTAGAAAACAGATATTTATTGAATGTCTACTGTGTATAAAGCAAAATGATAGCCTCTGCAGAGGAAAAAGAATAAGTAGGTCATAGTCCCCACTCTCAAATAATTTAAGTCTAACTAGAGATTTAAGACATTAACATGTGAAGTTTTTTTACTTTTATATTAAGTTCAGGGGTACAAGTAAAGGTTTGTTACATAGATAAACTTGTGTTATGGGGGTTTGTTTTACAGATTATTTGATTACTGATAAAGCATATAAATAACATTTGAAGAACGTATTTTAGTAGATAGTATGAGATTCTATATGTGTGGTCAGAAAATTTACACTGCATAGGATTTCAAAGTGAAAAGTTTTTGTACTATGTCTTTGCTTTCTTCAAAAGGGTGGACATCTTTAAGAGGCAGGGAGGAATGATTCTTGTTTAGGCTTCAATATTTTGGCAGGCATGTTACATAATTTTAAAAAGAGGCAGCTAGATAACAGGTGGAGGTTTTATATTTCCTTATTATAACTTTATTCTTTTTGCAAAACAATTGGAAACTGCCAGTAAAATTTATTGATATATAATATTTGTATATTTTATGCAAGATATGTGGTATTTTGTCACAAGCGTAGAATGTGAAATGATCATGTCAGTGTATTTAGGGTATTCATCACCTCTGGCATTTGCCATTTCTATGTGTTGGGAACATTTCAAGTGCTCTCTTCTAGCTATTTTGCAATATATAATATATTATTGTTAACTATAGTCATCCTATCCTGCTATCAAACATTAGAACTTATTCCTTCTATTTCATTATATGATTGTACCCATTAACTAACCTCTTCATCTCCTTCCCCCAACACACATACCTTTCCCAGCCTCTGATAACTATCATTCTACTCTCTACCAACATGAGATGTTTTTTAGCTCCCACATATGGGTGATAGCATATAATATTTGTATTTCAGTACCTAGCTTATTTCACTTAACATAAGGACCTCCTATTCCATCTATGTTGCTGCAAATGACAGGATTTCATTCTATTTTATGGCCAAGTAGTATTCTATTGTGTATATATAACACATTTTCTTTATCCATTCATCCCTTGATGGACACTTTGGTTTATTCCATATCTTTGCTATTGTGAATAATGCTACAAAACCATGAGAGTTCTGATATTCCTTTGATATATTGATTTCTTTTCCTTTAGAAAAATATCCAGTAGTAGGATTCTTGGATCATATGGTAGTTCTATTTTTAGTTTTTCAAGAAATCTCCATTCTGTTTTTCATAGTGACTGTACTAATTTACATTCCTACCAACTTTATATCAGTTCCCTTTTCTCCACATCTTCTCCAGCATCTGTTATTTTTTTTTCTTTTTAACAATAGCCATTCTAAGATGACATCTCATTGTGGATTTAATTTGCATTTTCCTGATAATTAGTGATGTGGAGCCTTTTTTATCTACCCGTTGGCCATTTGTATGTCTTCTTTTGAGACATGTCTATTCATGTCCTTTGCCCACTTTATAATGGGATTATTAGGTTTTTGGTTTTTTGGGTTTTTTTTTGCTATTGAGTTGTTTGAGTTCCTTGTATATTCTGAATATTAGACCCTTGTGGGATTAATGGTTTTCAAATATTTTCTCCCATTCAATAGGTGTAGTGTGTCTTTATTCTGTGGATTGTTTGCTAGTACATTTTGAAGAAAGATACTAGTTAATAAAATTGATTATTGAGAAACATATAAGAGAATACACTCTTTGGGATAAAGGAAGGATGTGGGAAGTGCCATTTTACTCTATCTTGAAGGGTAGGGAGAGAATACACACACATCACACATGGTTCCCATTTACAAACATAAATAAAATTTCTGAGGACTGACTAGAAGGCAAAGTGTAATAGCAAGAAAGATCATAAAATCAGAAACAAATATTTCCAAATTTCAATTCCAAAAATTCTGAATTTAACATTAAACTGTTTTTGCTTCTAATTTAAACTCTAATGTTCTCTACTTTGAAGGCTTATTTTTCTACTCTGGCTCATTCAAAACTTACACAAACACGTAAAGCACATTGAGCATATAACATGTCATTTTTATTTGCCAAATTATAGTCATCAAATGATACCTTGTACAGAAAGAGTAAAACCTATGCTGAAGTGAAAATGTATTTCCTGGTTTCATTTTGGAAAACATGGTAACATTGCAAGTTGGAAGTCTGATTATTCATTGTCATACTAGCACACAAAGTGCATTGTACTTAAATCTTTTTTAAATTTCAAAAGCAAGACATGTAAAAATCAAAGAAATTTAAAGAATGTGGGCTTTGGTATATAAGAAGACCTATTCTCACTCTTAAAATTATTTAAACAGGTGCTATGGGAAGCCATTGCCTGTATAAGGCTTTTAAGATATTTACAACAAAACATTTCCCTGTGATTGAATTTTTCCAAGTACTAAAATACCATGGAGAAATATGTTTACCACCAGTTTTATGGCTCCCTACATGCATTCTCTATAAACCTTGTATCTGCTTGGACACAAACAGTATTGCAAAAAGACACCACGCCATTTGAACAGGGTATACAGCTTTGAAAGCGTATGCCACAGTACTAATGGGAATGTCAGTATTATTATGAGTAATACAGTTTTAAGACCATTCTTTTATTACAGGAGACCTAAGTAATTGTTCTTATTTTACATCTTAATTTTAGTAGGAGTAAAATTAATTTAGTAGGAGTATCTGTGGGGATACTACCACTATTGTGTTACAGTTTTTGGCCTCGGTGCTGATATGGGATATAACATTTGTGAAGTCTAAGCACGGAAAAACATAAAGGTAAAGTTTTCCTTTACAACATGTATTATTCCATTGAAAAGCAAATAAAAAATAATTACCTGGGACCTGAAAATGCAACCCCTATATGCTTCAAAGGTTTGGGTTGACAATGTTTAAAAAGCTACAAGGTATCAATAGTAGAATTTTGCTAACCAGTGAGTCAATTTTCTAGGCAAATGGGGGAAGAAAACACATGTTGTAAGTATCCAGATGAGAAAGTATCTTCTGGAAACTTGTAGCAGTGGCAATAAAGCAATACACATCAGTGTTCAAACTTGAATACATATTGTATTGCTTTTCACCCTCATAATTTTTTAAAATATGCCAACTGTCAGAGACAGTGGTAGGTAAGGTTAGATGGTTACATGGATTATTAGTAAAGTCTCCTGAGAAATTGGGATGTTGATGGTGGTTGAGAATCATAGGCTGACTATGATGCACTTCACCATCTGTTAATATAGGTATTTTAACTGGAGATAAGATCAAATATCTTGTCATTAGCCAAGAAGAGGAAGTAATTTCAATGCCATGTTAAAAATACAGTATTTAGCCATTCACACTGGAAAAATGTCTAATGGGAAATGAATAATGCAGGAGAGGTGACAATGGACAGAAAGGCAGTGAGCAAAGTGATCTTCCCTAGTGACCAAATAGAATTAAGGAAGTTAAAATCGCTAAGTGAAGTGAGTAGATATAGCTGTTCAGGTGATGGAAGCATGTTCTTTTTTTTTTTTTTTTTTGAGACAGAATCTTCGCTCTGTCACCCAGGCTGGAGTGCAGTGGCGCTATCTCTGCTCACTGCAAGTTCCATCTCCTGGGTTCATGCCATTCTTCCGCCTCAGCCTCCCGAGTAACTGGGACTACAGGCACGTGCCACCACGCCCGGCCGATTTTTTGTATTTTTAGTAGAAACGGGGTTTCACCATGTTAGCCAGGATGGTGTCGATCTCCTGACCTCATGATCCACCTGCCTTGGCCTCCCAAAGTGCTGGGATTACAGGCGTTAGCCACCGCGCCCGGCCGCATGTTCCTTAAGGTTATCCAAAGCAAACATGAAGGCAGATTCAGAACAAATGCAGAAATGGCTAACATATGATACTGCGTCTGGAATTTATTCCTTCCAGTGGGTTCTTGGTCTCTCTGACTTCAAGAATGAAGCCGCGGACCCTCGCAGTGAGTGTTACAGTTTGTAAAGATGGTGTGTCCAGAGTTTGTTCCTTCAGATGTTCAGATGTGTCTGGAGTTTCTTCCTTCTGGTGGGTTCATGGTCTCACTGACTTCAGGAGTGAAGCTGCAGACCTTCGCAGGGAGTGTTACAGCTCTTAAAGTTGGTGCGTCTGGAGTTGTTTGTTCCTCCCGGTGGGTTCGTGGTCTTGCTGACTTCAGGAGTGAAGCCACAGACCTTTTCAGTGAGTGTTACAGCTCATAAAGGTAGTGCGGACCCAAAGAGTGAGCAGCAGCAAGATTTATTGTGAAGAGCGAAAGAACAAAGCTGCCACAGCGTGGAGGGGGACCTGAGCGGGTTGCCGCTGCTGGCTTGGGTGGCCAGCTTTTATTCCCTTATTTGGCCCTGCTCACATTCTGCTGATGGGTCCATTTTACAGAGTGCTGATTGGTCCATTTTACAGATTGCTGATTGGTCCGTTTTTACAGAGTGCTGCTTGGTACGTTTACAAACCTTTAGCTAGACCCAGAGCGCTGACTGGTGCGTTTTTACAGAGTGCTGATTGGTGCGTTTACAAACCTTTACCTAGACACAAAGCGCTGATTGGTGCATTTTTACAGAGTGCTGATTGGTGCGTTTACAAACCTTAAGCTAGACACAGAGCGCTCCTTGGTGTGTTTACAATCCTTTAACTAGACAGAAAAGTTCTCCAAGTCCCCACTCAACCCAGGAAGTCCAGCTGGCTTCACCTCTCAATACTAAACTGAAAATAACTTCATGGGACTCAAATGTTATAATGTTGATTTTTAAAGCACTTTATCCAAATAAATGACTCAAAAAATATACCAATTTCATAGAATTGGAATTTAGGGCAGAAATTTTGGGTGTTTTGTTTAAGTCTGATTACAAGATATTAGTATTGAAAGATCTTACATATTAATTTTCTCTTTATTTTCCTTTCTTCATGTTGCAGAATTTCTCTGGTTATTGAGTTCACAATATTTACACATTCATAAAAACAGAAAATGTGAAACATCTGCATTTAATACTAATCGTTGAATTTTGTAGGGCTTCATGTGAAGTATATCTTAAAAATAGTGTTTCCCCTAAAGAAGTATCATTGGCTCTGAGTACAATAGTCACACCTTATTTGCAGGGGATATGTTCCAAAACCTCTGGTAGTTGCCTACAACAGTGAAGAGTACTGAACCCCATACATATTGTTTTTTTTTTCTATACATACATACATGTGTTAAAGTTTAATTTATAAATAAGGCATAGTAATAAATTGACAACAATAACTGATGGAAATATAGAACAACTATAACAATATACTGTGTAAACGTTATTTGAATGTGGTCTCTCTTTCTCTCAAAACATTTTATTGTACTGTACTCCCCTGTTGTCTGATTGCCATTTACTAGGAGTAACAGAAATCTTTGGAAAATGAAATCACAGATAAGGGGCAACTACTGTGTGTGTAAGGATAGAATCCAATTGGGAAAGATAAGAGGAGAAAATGATAGTGACTAAAATGTCACTGGAAGTTGAGAACTGACTATGTTTCTCTTTACATTTCAAGCTTTGACAGATGTTAAAGATGTTTAATAAATATTTATTTTACATACATAAGTATATATATAATATATATTTATATTTGCAGGTTACTAAAAGCATCACACTCTTACTGTCTGCATAAACCCAGCCTCAGCATAGACATAGTTTTATATTCAGTAAACACTTAAGATTCTTCTTTCAAACTAAAGCACTTATGATAGAAAAATGAGAAAAAAATTCTCAAGTACTAGGGCTATTAGCAAAAGTGAAACATGTCTGTAGTGTCTTCGCTTCAACATTTGCCATTCCATATGGATCCGTAAATATTTGTAACAATAGTAAGTAAAGGAATTTTAGCATTAATAAAATAAGGTCGAATTTGCCAGGAAAAATTAAGATAGATTTTTCATATTTTCTTTTTTTCATATAAATATTTATTGAACAAAAGCAGAATAAATGAACTAAGGGCTGTTTTAACCTGTAGATATAAAACAGCAACTTCAAATATTCAGAAGGGTGTCACACAGAGAATGAAAGACTTGTTTAGTATTTCTGCAAAGGGCAGAACTTGACCCAAAGGATAAATACAAGCAATCAGTAGGCCATTGGATAGTTGTACAAAGTGTATCACATGTCTTAATTGCTTCTTTCTCCATATAATGCGTTCCACACTTAACTTTTCCCATCTTATAAAAGGAAATAATACAACTTAATACTTCTCATGAACGTCTTAAATAAGTCACATTTTCATGGCAAGCCCTCCACTGCCAGCAATAGATGTACTCATAGTATTGGAAAACATCTAAAGTTAACAAACTGGTTTAGTATAAAAATGGTTTATTTGTTCCTCAGACATATTTCTGCATTTTACATTAGTGGATCTCAGAAGTTGGGGAGAAAAGAGAGCATAGTCTCCAAAGAGGGTGAATCATAATCCCTAGCAATACAGATATTGCCCTCAAACTCCAAATGAATCATTACCACTATCCAGCAATGGTACAGATGAGAGTGTGGTATGTGCTGGGGCATCTGCACAGACAAAACACAGTTGACAACCACTATTCTACAAGAAACAGGAAATCTTATTTCACAAGTCACTAAAAAACAAACTAACTGCTGTAGTAATGAGAGGCTCCATCCAGACTGTTAAATATTACAAAGTGAGAACTGTTTTAACAACTACTCAGCATAATGTTTAAGAACAAAATGTACATAAAACATTGTACTTTATATGTATATTTTATCACATAGTAAGAAATGCTGAAGTGCTTCATCTATGCAACAAATTGAAAATAAAAACTTTACATTTCTATATTTGTCAATATACAGGATTCTGAAGGTGGATCTTAAACTCAGGATGATAAATCAGTTATCAAGGAAAGCCACATAACCCGTCAGTCTGGATAACTGCTATTCACTGGGGATGGGTGAACTGGAATTGGCTCTGGCAAGGGAATAAACTTGTTAAAAGAAACATCCAGGGCCCTTGCAATTGGCTTTCTGGGCATAACCGTTCTTATGGTTGGGTCAGCTTGCCATTCTTGTTTTAATATACCTTTCACAGCCTCTTCTACAGGACATCCAAAAAAGGCTTCAAAATCATCAACGATTATTGAGATATACACTTGAGAGGGCAGGGCAAAGGCTCATCTCCTTGTTGTATCTCTAAGTGCTTCCATAATTGACTGGAACATCTTAGGCTACTGGTAAGCACGGAGGGTTGTATACATCCCAAAGAAATCTCTATGTCAGAATTTTTTTCCTACTGAGCAAATTCTCCCAAGTTCAGAATTTGCAGATTTTATAGCAGGTGGTATTCTTTCCCAAAGATATCTTGGATTATTCATGTCGTTATGGAGCAAATAAAAAGCTAGAAGCTGACCATTCACTGGGGGTGCAGCAGTTCCTCCAAGACCCTGGAACTCTTGGTTCTCGCACTGATCCAACAACTTTTTGAAACTGAAGGCACTTTCCTTCATCATTGCCACTGGCATCTTCCCAGCCTGTCTTGTGGCCACCCCTTCCCAACAGCCAGACCCCAAACTGTCCCCCTTTTCCTATATTCTTAGTAGAAAGTACACTTATCTTAAACTTGCAAGTCTGCATGGGAATAAATATACAACTTAAATTAAATTTGAGGGGAAAATGCGACTTGGTGGCTGGCAAGATGGCCGAATAGGAACAGCTCGTGTCTGCAGCTCCAAGGGAGATCAATGCAGAAGGCAGGTGATTTCTGCATTTCCAACTGAGGTACCTGGCTCATCTCATTCGGACTGGTTGGACAGTGGGTGCTGCCCATGGAGGGAGAGCTGAAGCAGGATGGGTCGTCGATTCAGACTACTCAGGTAGCTTGAAGACTTCAGGCTCAAACTACTTTAGAGCTAATCTGAGAGAGTTCACTTACAGAATTACAAGTTTATTCTTTTGTCTGGTTATTAGGAAGACAAAATACAATGCTATAATACCTTTATTAATTCTTGAAACATTAAGTAAATTCTTCACTCAGTTTACCAGAGTAAATTTTTTTAAAGAATTTATTGGGTAAATCCTGGAATCAATGTATATTCAGTGCACTTCTTTTTCTTGAACATTCCAGATCTACAAGGCTAGCATAGCTTCAGATGTAGCTCATCTTTTTGAGGGCCAACTATATGCTCAGTACCATGCTAAGTGTTTTGCATTTGAGTTTTTTCCTTTAAACTTCCCACAAACACTCTGAGGTAGATCTTTATATTCTACAAATAGGGTCACTGTGTAACATCCCAACACAGAGAGACATTCAGTAATGTTTATTGTGCTATAAGAAGAAGGCAGACTCATAGGAAATAAGTTAAAATCAGAAAGGGACGTATCAGATGATTAACCTTTGTATAATCATTTACGTTCAACTGCATGATACATTTTTTAAAGATTTCTAATTAATTGAAAAGTTTTTTGAAAATATTCCTCTTTGTCTAATAGTTATTAGAGAAAATCACCACCACACTCTTCAATTTATAGCACTTTGATTTATGCCACAATACAATGCACAACTAGGAACTCAAAAGTGTTTCTGATAAAAGTCATTAAGTAAGGTGAGAATATTGAAATAGAAGAAAGTAAAGTTGAATCAGTCCCCACAAACTAGAAATGAAGATGGGGAAGAGGCAGCATTAAAACATAAAACAAAATGGCACATTCATGTGTTCTAGTGCTGGCATTTACACATCCTTGCCTCTTTGGATATATATTATGAATTATTTTATTATTATTTTTATCAGAAAAAGAGTGTCCATAAGATGGTATGAATTTTCATAGCAATAGACAGCATCTAAAACTAGGATTGTGCTTTTGGTAAAGGTTGTTAAATTAAGCATTACTAATAGATACAAACTTCTTTGATAAAACTTAAGAAATTTTCAGGTGAGAAGCAACAGCTTTTTTTGTTTGTTTGTTTCTTTGTTTGTTTGTTTTTTGAGATGGAGTCTCACTCTCTTTCCCATCCTGGAGTGCTGTGGTGTGATATCGGCACACTGCAACCTTCGCCTTCTGGGTTCAAGCGATTCTCCTGCCTCAGCCTCCCGAGTAGCTGGGATTACAGGCACCTGCCACTGTGCCTGGCTAATTTTTGTATTTTTAGTAGAAATGGGGTTTCGCCATGTTGGCCAGGCTGGTCTTGAACTCCTGACCTCAAGTGATCTGCCCACCTCAGCCGCCCAAAGTGCTGGGATTACAGGCATGAGCCACTGTGCCCGGCGCAACAGTTTTTATTATCTTAATGTCTATATTACACAGGACAAGAAAAAAAATGTGAAAATTGCAGTGCTTTGCCTTGTTAATTAAATATATATTTTTAATAAAATTCAGCTTTCTAAAATAAAAATATTAGGGTCATTTTGAGTTAGCTAAGTTTATAACAGTATTGAAATTATGGTATCAAACTCATCTATTAGGAAAACCCTTAATTTTTTGTATAAAACACGTGATGGCTCAGTGCATCAATTTTTTTTTTTTAAATTTTTTGAAGAGGTGGAGTCCCACTACATTGCCCACGCTGGAGTGCAGTGGCTATTCGTAGGCATGATCATAGTGCATTGCAGCCTCAAACTCCTGGGCTCAAGTGATCCTTCTACCTCAGCATCCTGAATAGCTGGAACTACGGGTTCATGCCACTGTACCAAGCCCATTGCCTCCATATTTTAGCTAAGACTGAAATATCAGTACATATTCTCAGTGATTGTGGGTATGTGCACATACGTGGGTGTGCGTGAACAAGAGAAGGAGATGACTAATGAAAACAGAACTGTCTGTCATTAGTACTGTGGTAACATGAAAATGTGAATATGCATAGATTACAAACAGGTATAATTGCACAGTTATTAGTGAGCATATTGATAAAAATGTCAAATCTGTGTAATTAAGGGCATGTTCCTCATGAAAGAGTTTATAGGAGGTGACAAACTGTGAATTCTGTGTTATACAGACTGTTTTCCCAAGTTTTCCATGATAGAGTCATTCTGATTTTGAATTATCTTTAATTTTTAATCTTAATCCTCTGAAATATCTTCTTTATAACTTTCTTGGATACAAGTAAATTTATAATCCATAGAATTCATTCTTGGAAAAATATTTTCCTTTTATTTGTATAGGCTCATGTTTTTTACTATTTTGTTTCCTGAATCTATGTTACAAATTGGCCCATTATGCATGTTTTTCTGCAGTGTAAATTGATTTTCACAACCTCTATATCTAGAAAACCAACTGGTTGATATATGTCTTTAATTTTATTCGATTTCTTGAAGCTTTGGCAATACATCCTTAAAATTAGGTATCATTTTTGAAACGATTTTTTGAAATGTGAAAAGTAACTAGTTAAAAAATATATTGTGATAGGAAGCAATATTAAAATCTTGTAAATGTAGCAAAAATTAACCTTTATATAGCCCAGTGGTTTTTTGAATTGTCATTCCCACACCAGCAACTTTAGCATCAATTGGGCACTTATTAGAAATTCGAATTGCCAGGCTCTACTCTATACCTACTGAGTAAGAAACTCTGGAAGCAAGGAATGTGTATTTAAAAGACTTTCAGTGCATTCTTATGCATGGTAAAGTTTGAGAACTATGCTCTAAAGTGCTGGATGAATAACCTGCTCCCTTCTACCTTCCATTGACTCTTTCTACTCAGTCAGATAAGTTAACTAACCAAATATGAAAGCAGTGATTTTTAAATTTGGCACCTGAATTGCCAGGTCAGAACAGTAAATTTCCCTTCCTGATCTGTGCCAGATTAAGAAGAGAAGTTTCTTTCTTGGTTGAAAAAAAAAAAAAAAAAAAAAAAGAAGACTGGATGTCTCCTGGCAGGGAAGCAAAATGAGAAATCCGCTTTGCAGCCTCTTCAGCCAGCCAGATGCCTGAGCCCCCAGTAAGACTAAAAGCAAACCTATATTAGAATCCTGGGGAATATGGGCAACATGGCTGACTTGACACGTCAGGTTGAAAGCTGCCACTGAGGGACCACGATGGCTGGCATACTCAGATTTCAGAGGGAAGGCACAAAGCCATTTTACAAATGAGCCGGAGTGACAAAACATTATCACCTGGAAGGGTCATCTAATTTATGGAAATGGGTGCCCTCCTCCTCCATCTATCCCAAACACATCTCTTTAAAACAGCAGCTTTCTTTCTACCTTACCCCATTCCCAATCCTGCCACTTGTTTGCCAATTTATGATGCAAACTGTTATAATGTTACTTGGCACTCATAAAATGTTATTTTTTGTGCAGCCTTTTACACAGAGGTAGCCAGGCTGGTTTTCTGGAGAAGGGACTTGTACATGCCTTTGGTGCTTTTTGTTTGTTTGTATCAGAAGTTCTTGTTTTTCTTTGCAGATTTTAGATCAACTTCTAGTCTGTTTCTGGAACCTCAGCAGTTTTGTATTTCTAGGCTCTATAAAATATAGAGTTACTCCAAAAAATCAGTCAGGTCTGCTTTATCTCTGATATAACAATAGATCATCTCAGAGATTTTGGGAAACTATGTGTGTGGGAGAGAAAGGTTTATGCTTTAAATTTTTTTGCTCAGAGGACTATGCTATGTAGACAAGTTCAATAAATTTACACTAGACATTCTGTGACAACTATACAAGCTATTTTTCGAAATTGTAAAATTTCAGTTTGTCACAATATTTGTAGATTATAGTAATCATTTATTTTATTGGAGAGACTAAGAGTTGACCAGAAACTCTTTACCTCCATCCCCTTTCTTCCTTCATTCTACCACATATTTGTAAATAAATAAATACATAAATTATATATTCATGTACAATCTTGTCTTTTTGAATAAAAAAGAAATAGTGGAATCAATCTGATGATTCGAAATCTTACAGGGCTTTAAGGTTACCAGTGTACATATCAAATATCATTGCATATGTTATAGATAGACACATGATGGTGGCTATTCTAGATACTGAGGAGACAACAGTGAGCAAATAAAAATCAGAAAAAAGTCACTACCCTCAAAAAGATTCAATTGTACTGGAATAAAATATTTAATAAAATAAATAATTATATTATATTGTATATTAAATGGTGCTTAATTTTACAGAACAAAATAAATTGTCTCAATGAGGTAGAAATAGGGGTGCAGGTTGCAGTGTTAAATGGGATGGCCAGTATAGGTTTCACAAAGAAGATACCATTTGAGCAAATCATACAGGTGGCAATCTCAAGTGAAATGCATAAACACTCTAAAACACACCTTGTAAAGCATTTTGTTAGTTCTAAATTTTTATTTGACTTTTTTTCTTATTAAGCTTATTACATTCTCTACAGTTTGAATATCGCTTATCTGGAATGCTTCAGACCAGACATGTTTCCATTATTGGTCCATTCTTGCATTGCTATAACAAAACACCAGAAACTGAGTAATTTATAAAGCAAAGAGGTTTAATTGGATAATGGTTCTTCAGGCTGTACAGGAAATATGATACTGGCATCTGCTCAGCTTCTGAAGTGGCCTCAGGAAACTTTCAATCATGGCAGAAGGCAAAGGAGAAGCAAGCCTGTCTTGGCACACATGTTTAAATAACCAGATCTCATGAGAACTGACTCACTCACTATCATGAGAACCGCACCAGGAGATGGTGCTAGACCGTTCATGAGAACTTTCCCCCAGTGATCCAATCACCTCCCACCAGGCTGCATCTCCAACACTGGGGATGACAGTTTGACATGAAATGTAGGTAAGGACACAGATCCAAACCATATCATTCTGCCCTGACCCCTCCCAAATCACATGCCCTTCTCACATTTCAAAATACAATCATGCCTTCCCAACAGTACCCCAAAGTCTTAACTAATTCCATCATTAACTCAAAAGTTTGCAGTCCAAAGTCTTATCTGAGACAAGGCTAGTCCCTTCTGCCTATGACCCTGTAAAACAAAAACAAGTTAGTTACTTCCAAAAAACAATGAGGGTATAGGCATTGGGTAAATACTCCCATTCTGAAAGAAATTGTCCAGAAGAAATGGGCTACAGGCCCCATGCAAGTCTGAAACCTAGCAGCGCAGTCATTAAATCTTAAAGCTCCAAAAGAGTATCCTTTGACTTCATGTCTCACATCCAGGGCATACTAGTACAATAGGCTCCCAAGGCCTTGGGCAGATCTGCCCCTGTGCTTTGCAGGGTTCAACCTCCACGGTTACTCTCAAGGGCTAGTGTTGATTGCCTGTGGCTTTTCTAGGTTCATAGTGCAGGCTGTTGGTGAATCCATAAGTCTGGGTTCTGGAGGATGGTGGCCCCCTGTCACAGCTCCACTACTAGGCAGTGCCCCAATGGGGACTCTGTGTGGGGGCTCCAACTCCATATTTCCCTTCTGCTCTGCACTCGTAGAGGTTCTCCATGAGGGCTCCACCCCTGCCACAGGCTTCTGCCTGGGGAACCAGGCTTTTCCACACATTCTCTAAAATTTAGGCACAGGCTCCCAAGCCTCAGCTCTTGCACTCTGTGCTCCTGTAGGCTTAACACCACATGAAAGCGGCCAAGGCTTATGGCTTTTTCCTCTAAAGTATCAGTCCTGGGTCCCTTTTAGCCATGGCTGAAGGTGGAGTGCCTGGGATGCAGGGAGCAGTGTTCTGAGGCTACACAGGGCTGTGTGGCCCTGGGCCTGGCCCACGAAATCATGTTTTCCCTCCTAGGCCTCAAGGCCTGTGATGGAAGGGGCTGCCAGGAAGGTCCCTGAAATGCCTTTGAGGCATTTTCCCTATTGTCTTGGCTATTAACATTTAGCTCCTCTTTACTTATGCAAATTTCTTCAGCCCACTTGAATTCCTCACCAGAAAATGGGCTTTTTTTTTTTTCCTACACATGACCAGGCTGCAAATTTTCCAAACTTTTATGCCCTGCTCCCCTTTTAAACATAAGTTCCAGTATCAGGTCATTTGTTTGCTCACACATAAAAGCATACACTGTTACAAGCAGCCAGGCTACATCTTGAACACTTTGCTTTTTAGAAATTTCTTCTGGCAAATACCCTAAATCCTCACTCTCAAGTTCAAAGTTCCACAGATCCCTAGAGCAGGCACACAATGCAGCAAGGCTCTTTGCTAAAGCATAGCAAAAGTGACCTTTCCTCCAGTTTCCAATAAGTTTCTCATTTCCATCTGAGACCTCCTCAGTCTGGGCTTCGTTGTCCATATAACTATAAGCATTTTAGTCACAACAATTTAAAAAGTCTCTAGAAAGTTCCAAACCTTCCCTCATCTTCCTGTCTTTGACCTTCTATATTCCTCCAATCTCTTCCTGTTATCTAGTTCCAAAGCTGCTTCCACGTTTTTAGGTATCTTTATAGCAATACCCCACTTCTGGTACCAATTTTCTGCATTAGTCTGTTCTTGCACTGCTATAAAGAAATACTTGAGACTGGGTAACTTATAAAGAAAACAGGTTTAATTGGCTCACAGTTTCACAGGCTGTACAGGAATCGTGATGCTGGCACCTGCTTGGCTTCTGGGGAGGCCTCAGGGAACTTTCAATCATGGTAGAAGGCAAAGGGGAAGCAAGCATGTCTTATATGACCAGAGCAGGAGGAAGAGATAGATGGGGAGGTGTCATACACTTTTAAATAACCAGATCTCTTCACTCACTCACTGTCTTGAGAACTCCACTCCCACGATCCAATCACCTCACACCAGGCCTCATCTCCAACACTGAGGATTTTTGACGT
This sequence comes from Homo sapiens, assembly GCF_000001405.40. Classification (NCBI taxonomy): domain Eukaryota; kingdom Metazoa; phylum Chordata; class Mammalia; order Primates; family Hominidae; genus Homo; species Homo sapiens. The sequence continues at coordinate 86,806,437 of NC_000023.11, forward strand.
GAGATTTGTGTAGTGACACAGGTCCAAACCATATCATTTTTAATTTTGGGTTTTTCAGATTTTGCAGTATTTGCATATACATAATTAAATATGTTGGGGATGGGACTCAGGTCTAAACATGAACTTAATTTACTTTTCATATACACCTTATAAACTTAGCCTGAAGGTAGTTTTATAAAATGTTTTTAATAACTTTGTGCATGAAACAAAGTTTTTATTGTATTTTGACTGTGATCTGTCACATTATGTCAGGTGTGGATTACTCCACTTGTGGCTTAATGTCTGAGCTCAAAAAGTTTTGAATTTTGAAGCATTTCAGATTTTAGATTTTCCAATAAGGGATCCTCAACCTGTAGAAGGGGAAATCTAGTTAACTGTCCTTTCATTGAGATTTTCCTATATGAAAAATAGGAAAGAACAGTGCTTCCCAACCAGTATTGACATTTGGCCAGATAATTCTTTGTTGGGAATCCAGTGGTGATCGGGGGTGAAGGGCTTTCTTTCCTATGCTTTGTGGGCGTTTTGCAACATCACTGGCCTCTACCACTAGATGTCAGCAGTATGTAGTCTTGACAATCAAACATGTCTGTAGCTATTGCCATATGTCCTCTGGGCAACAAAATTGCTCCTGGTTAAAAACCACTGACCTGTGTCTTCAGGCCTTCAATGACTTGGAAAGCAAAAGTGGGCTAATTTAAGGTGAAGCTGGGCTCATCCAGTTTTTACCTAGAGAAGGGTATTTCCAAACATTGTGTTTCATGAGGTGTTAATAGATGCTTAGGTTGTCAAATATATGACTATATACTCCTCTTTCACTTCTGTAAATTTTCAACTACCATTTATTTAATAAACATTTATATTGCATTTACTTTGGATCAGAAATTATTCTATCAATTTTGCTAATAGTAGTTCATTAATATTTATAACAGCCCTAAGAGGTAGGTGTTACTATTATCCTAACTTTATAGATAAAGAAACTGAGGCATAGAAAGGTTAAGCAACTTTCCCAGGGTTCTACAAATCATAGAGCAGGGATTCAAACCCAAGCAATCAGGCTCCAGTGTATTTTGCTCTTCATTATGCTCTCTGCTTCCTATCTTGACATATAACATATGTTAATATTTACTATTCGCATATTTTTTATTTTAAAAAATTCCACAGGATTTTGGGACACAGTTGGTATTTGGTCACAAGAGTAAGCTCTTTAGCGGTGATTTGTGAAATGGGGTCTGAGATGTTCTGCTCTAAAAGATTTAGCAAGTTAAAAATAAAGGAAAACTGTGCCCTGTGAAATATGAGTTTCAGATAAATGAGACACCAATTTTTAGTCTAAATCTGTCCTATGGAATATTTTGGACATAATTATATTAAACAATGATTTGCTGTTTATCTGAAATTCAAATTCCACAGAGCACCCTGTAATGTATCTAGCAATCCTAGCTTTAAGGAAAATTGTTAAATATTGTTTAGGCCTGTTTTCTCAACACTAATTTGAGCAACGAAGCTTTTCTTGTTAGAACACCTAATATCACGTGGAAGTTCTGTGGGGCTTTAGTCTAAGGACAGTGGGAATGCCTTTCAGCTAGAGAGTGAACAGATTATTAAGGGTTCATTCCAAAGTACAGTGATCTCTTCTTTGAACTCCTAGAGGCAAATAACAATCTATGCCACATGAACATGATTCAAGCTTAAGTGTCCACTGTTTTCCTAAATAATGTATCCGCTCCTTAATGACAAGAACTGGGTGTCATACTTCTTCCAAACCTTTTACTGGACATAATATTTGTTATTGGAATAACATTTTGTCTGAAAGATGACTGAATTCCAATACATGATTTATAAAGGAGCCTGTTATGTGAAATTGCTAATCTAAGGATCCACAGCAAATGAGCATAATTGGTTTTAGAGTATCTGTGTCACTTTCTCAGGCTGGTACGTCTTCATTCCTTTGCTACTAGCTTTCTGTTTTCATTTATCTGTATTATTTTTATTTCATCTCCTTAAAGAAATACAACAATTTGGGGATCAAGCTTTTCCACATTTGATGATGGCAATACTTGAGGAGTCATTGAAGCTATGTACACTTCCTTATATTCACACAAGTCACATTACACAGCAGTTGGTCATTTTATTGTTGTAATTGTTCCTCAGTTTGTTAGAGGGAAGCAGGTGTCTCACTTGTCCTGAATGTAATAATAATGACATTGCCAAAAAAAAAAAAAATGGGTCACCTGGGACAATAGTATTTAGGGAAAAGATCTCAAATAAAATAATAAAGTATAATTTACTTGATAACGAATAAAACTGATGACCTGGTAGGTAGCTACAATTTTCTACTGCTGAGTTAGTCAGCTGTGTTGTTTATATTCCTGTATCACAATCCTTAAAGCCCAGAGGAGACACACTCCATGCAAAATGGGAAAATAAGCATTAGAGTCATGTAGAGAGCCTCTAGCAGCCTGGACTTAATTTTCTGGGTGATTTTTCTATTTTGAGTATTCACTATATATTTATCTTTTTTTCCTACAAAAGTTCTTGTCAACTTTTATATCTATTCATCTGGGCTCTACGAAATAAGTTAAAATGGAGCTTATTCTCTAAGTGGATGCCCAAGTGCTATTACAAAGTATGGCAGGTTTAACAAACAGGCTTAATAAAAGTGGTTTCCACTTTGCTTTAATAAGTGAAGAGATCACTCATGTCCTTGACTAGATGGCAGTTCTCCTATTCTTACTTTGTAGTTTATACTATTATGTTCTATGTGCTGATAAAGGTTTTACTATTTACATTTTGAATACCAGCTTTTTAAATAAAAAAAATCAAAATCCTTTTTCCTGGGTTTAATAAGAGATGCTCTTATTTAACCAATAGCCTATGTTTCTAGAACTTGCCCATTTAAAATTGTATTGCCAATTAGGATTTTTCAACCCTATCTAGTAAACTCCTACATAACAGTGCACTTATTTAAATTCTGAGCAAAATTCAGATGCTGTTCAGATGTAAAAATATATTACAAGATTGAAATTGATTTCCAGTTCATTTACCATTCATTTTTGTAGCAAACGAGTTAAATAGGAAAAAAAAATCTGATGTATGGTTTGACAGTTTCCTCTTGCATACACTAAAACATAATACACTTCTACTGCTTTTGGGCTATTATGGACCTTAACATGCAATGTGACCTTGGTGTGAAAAGCATGTTTGGTTAGCACAGAAACTTAATCATAAGAAGTCATAAGTAGAATCCTTCTTCTTTATGGCCCTTTTTCTAGGACTAGGAAATTTATTGCTTGTGGGACAGGTAGGATATGAACAATGGGCCAAATAGAGTCCAGGGTTATCTCATCCATGTTAAAACTGCTGCTGAAAATCGATGTGACCTCTGCTACACTGTCATCCCAGTTCCCACCCTCTGTGTCCTATTTGTCTTTTGATAGAAGCTTAGATCCGTGTGCTGTCTCTATGTGTCTCTCTTGAGCCACATTATCAAAATGAATCATTGCCTGCATACCTCTTATATTTCTATTTATTCTCCTGGTGTTGACTAGGTCTGATGAAATATGATTCTTTTTGTATTTGATCCTCACTGCAGCAAGCAACACCTAATTCAGCTGTGTCTATCTCTTTAAAGAAGAGTAATACTATTTTGAAACTCCAATTTACTGTACAGCAACATTACAAACCATAGACCATGCAACCTGTCTTCATCGTCAATATAATTTTCCTTTCAGCCAATTTAATGGCATTTTTTTCATCTTCAAATAGAAGACTTCCAACAAATTTAATGTAGTTATAATTTTGTTTTCTGCATACTGAATGTATTGCTTTCCTTTTCAGCTATCTTGTTTGTAAAGCAATCCTCAGAGTCTCACCACTGAGGTTATACATATGTGTAGGTGATATGTAACAATGAATTCATTATTTTAAGAACTCTCTCCTTGACACAAAATATTTATTCAGGGAAATGATTATATTGTCTCTGAATCAGCAAGAAGTTAATGTTATAACTTCGTAGCACTTCATTTTATAATAGTAGCTTTTCCAGGCTACATAAATTAATACTTTAAGATTTATAAACATCAGTATAAAAGTACAGAACCTTTCCAGCTATTATAAATATTGATATATCATCATTATAAAGTCATTCCATCCACTTAATGCATTCACGTGGAGAAGAAAAAATACTACTTAAATGTAGACATCAAACAATGCAATTGAAGCATAACACTGTGGTTAATTGTTGAGAAATGTGCCTTAGAAACCTTAGATCTGCTGCCTAAGACATGTTTTAATAGTGTTTTTATGAGATAATACTTCAAAAGAAACCATGTAGCTGAATAAGGTCACAGAATTTGTGATAATGTGCTGATTCTCTCTGGAATAATTTACCTCTTCTAAACCTACCACTGACTTTATAAAAAAAAAAGTAGAGAGGCAAATGTCTTGTAAGAGTTTAGCGTTAATTTTAAATAGAGTTACGTAACTAGAGTATGAAAATAAACTACGAGTGAGTTGTAGAAAACATTTGCATCTGTGAACAAAATATTGTTTTCAAAGCTTTACTAAAAAATAATTCCTAGGAAGTTATTCTCATAGCTTTCTGTGCTAAAGAAAATTAATGGTATAGTTCATGCATTTTATTGAATTATTTAAGGTCAATAAACAAATGCTCTTTTTAATATTTGGATTCAAACAGTGTGAAACTGTTGACTCTAATATAATCATATAGCATTTTTTTAAATTGCTATTGGTTTGGAAAAATAAAAAATGTAAAGGTGATATATAGTAAGAGCCTTTTATTCAGAGATAGTACTAAATAATCTCACTGAAGTTTCCCACAAATGAATGGCACAACTTGCCACACAAGAAATTCCACAGCAAAAGGTAACTGTTAAATTAATGGGGCTCAAGACTCTGCACACTGCATATGTAGGCTGCTTGCAATAGGAAAATGAAGTCCATATTCCATACCTATAGGAACCAGAACCAATAGACATCTTTTTTTGTTTCCAAACCATGTGAAATTGGTTATGTCTAGATTTAAGCCAAGTCTTTTTTCTTGAGTGAGTCTCATTAGAATATATGGAGTCACTGAATGTTTTTTCTGACCAGAGAGATGCATACTTTTTAAACTTTGCCTGTGCTCTCTTGCTGAAATTAAGATACTCCAGTGAGCAGCATAACTGTTTGAGGTGCTATGATTCACCCCATCATGCACTGCTGATGAACTCAACTAAGAGTAACTGAATTTCTTTCGTTAACATCCCGAGATTACCTCTCTGTGGCAGTTTCTTTTTACATACGTAGTTACAGAAGAAAATTTATCTAATTCGTACAGGTCATATGAAAGACTGTCAGCCAGAATAACCAAGTATTCAGGGTTCTCAAAGTAGGAGGGGATTCCCTTTATAATTAGGTATATCTGTTTTAAAGCAAATATAAAACATATTTATAAACAAAAATTCTACTCATAGCTCTTTATAGAGTAATGAGAATATTGAAGAATACAACATAAAAATAAAAGAGAGAATAGATGTAACTTGTGATTTTATGTCATACGTGTTATTTTCTGATAAGGGATATTCCATGAAATAAAAAGTAACACTGGAAACAATCCAAATAGTCATCAACTAGAAAATGTTTAAACGCAAGCTAGTATATTCATGAAACAAAATACTATTCAGCAATAAAAATAAACTACTGATACCTGCCACAACATGGATAAGCTTAAAAAACATGCTAAGAGAAAGAAGCCAGGCACAAAAAAACCATGTATCGTAGGATTCTATTTATATGAAACATTCAGAAAAGGCAAATCTTTGGAGATAAGGCAGATTAATGGTTTTTAGGGGCTGAGGTGGGAAAGAAGATTAACTGTAAATGGACATGAGGAGTCTTTATAGGGGAAATTAAGATGTTCTAAAATAGGTTTGTGGTAATGATTAGACAACTCTAGAAATTTACTAAAAATGAAGTGTATACTTAAAATAGGTGAATTTTATTGTATGTAAATTATTTTTTGATAAAGCTGTTAAAATAATCAAGATAAATAAATTGATTGATTAATAGATTTAGAGAGGAAAAAATAAAATGTTGCTTGTTTTTCCAGGAAGTGATCTGAATATTTAATTTATAGATATTCATAAGCACATATTGTCAATTGTATGTATCTTAAGTTTTTTCTCCAGATTTCATACCTCTTTAGCCATAAGCATTGTTTCAGTTTCACAAGTTCTTTACTGAAATATTTATTTTTTGAAATTAGAGGCAGCTGGAGAATAAATATGACTTCTAATTATGAGAATGTCAGTCATTTAGTTTTAGAAACAAAATCTTTATAGATGCTTAGTAGAGGTGGCTTAGTGAGACTTTTGAGCTCTTAATCTGTGAACCTTCTGATACTAATTTTGTTTTTGCAGAAGAGGTACCAGTTCAAATTCCAATAATGAAGTCACCCTTGGACAAGATACAGCTGACTCCTGGGCAGGCATTGCCCGCTGGATTCCCTGGACCATTCATTTTTGCTGATAGTCTGTCCTCCGTGGAGACTCTGTTGACCAACATTCAGGTCAACAATATTTCTATAAACAAAATAAATGTAATACAAGACATTAGCACCTACATATATTATTTTATATTTGATAAATTAAAACAGATAAGATGAACTGCATGTCATTTCCTGTACCTTGACAGGGTCTGCTGAAAGTTGCTTTGGATAATGCTCGCATCCAGGAGAAGCAGATTCAACAAGAAAAGAAGGAGCTGCGACTGGAGCTCTATAGAGAGAGAGAAATTAGAGAAAACCTTGAAAGACAACTTGCAGTTGAGCTTCAAAGCAGAAGTAAGTTTTACAAGTTCAATTACAGAGTGAATATTATGTTGGGGGTATTTTCAATACTAATGGAAATATTCTCCAAGATATCTTGGAGGCTGAGGCGGGAGGATCACGAGGTCAGGAGATTGAGACCATCCTGGCTAACACGGAGAAACCCCATCTCTACTAAAAATACAAAAAAAAAAAAAAAATTAGCTGGGCGTGGTGGTGGGCGCCTGTAGTCGCAACTACTCGGGAGGCTGAGGCAGGAGAATGGCGTGAACCCGGGAGGCGGAGGTTGCAGTAAGCCGAAATTGTGCCACTGCACTCCAGCCTGGGCGACAGAGCAAGACTCCATCTCAAATAATAATAATAATAATGGTAATAATAATAATAGTAATAATAATAATAATAATGATAACATAGCTACATGAAACCTTGGAGGTCACTTACCTTGGTCCCCTGGCCAACTATATGGTCCTTCGGCTTTGAAACAACTACCTATGTGATCTTTGGTCTTCAGGCTTTGTTCAGGCTTTGAAAACTAGTAGCTATGTTATCTTGGGTAAATTTCTTGACCTGTCAAGGACTCAGGTTCTTCATCTATAAAATAGAGATAAAAGTGTTTTTCTTACTTGAAAGTTTATTTTTATGACTGGCAGCACAGTAGATTTATTTGCACCAGCATCACCACATACCCACTAGTAATGCATTGCACTAGGACATTAGGATGACTACAGTGTCACTAGGTGATAGGAATTTCGCGCTCCATTATAATCTTATGGAACCACCATTGTATATGCGGTCCATCATTGACGGAAATCTCATTATGCAGCCTATGACTGTATATGCACATACAGAGAAAGAGCAAGAGAGAGGCAGAGAGAGAGAGAGACTGATGATATGTACATTAAACAGACAGATATTTCCCTTTAGAACTGGTAACATTTCAGATAAATGGACACTTGCCATTTTCAGTTTTAAAGACTATATTTTGCAACCTAATAGATATTTTCAGGATTATTTTTGCGTTTTGAAATATGAATAGTAATCAGTAACCTGATGAATAATAAGAATATTTTTCTTAAGAGGATTACAAAATGTTTAAAGAATCATTAAATGCATATAGAGAGTCAAAGTAGAAGACAATTCTCCACCACCACTACCACCATCATACAAATGCATGTGTATTACAGAACATACACTCTGGAAATGTGAAAATAGAAAGAAGTCAGTTGTATGACTGAAATACAGTAAATAAAGCACTCCTTAGATGACCCTAATGAGCATTAGTACCAAAAGAACGCTAATCATATGTCAAGTGAAATATTTCTATATCTCTCTTTATCTATACTTATATCTGTGGCTTATAATTCATCAAAACTGGCATCCCTATTTCATTGCTCAAGTCTTTGCAAACTACCTTTTACATTTCAGCTACTATGCAAAAGCGCCTGAAGAAGGAGAAAAAAACCAAGAGAAAATTGCAGGAAGCCTTGGAATTTGAATCAAAGCGCCGGGAGCAAGTGGAGCAGGCACTTAAGCAAGCCACCACTAGTGACAGTGGCCTGAGGATGTTAAAAGGTAATGTCTGATTTGGATTTTCACACTCAAGGTAAACAAAGCAAAACTGATTGAAGAAAAATAGAAGAAGGAATAAAAAGAGAGGAAGGCAGAAAGAAAGGAAGGGAGAGAGGGAAACACAGACATATTTTGTCCAGGAATGATTAAAAAATCAATTTGAGGCCAAGTGTTTTAGATCATGAATTAAATCCAGTCAAAATAATCACTGTTCAGGAGAAACAAATAGCCTTGGAATAATAGGAAGTCCTACTGACTTTTGCAGTAGAAGCAATAACACTGATAACCACCCTGCACCTAAAATGTAGGTGGGTTAGGTCCATTCCTGTTAGAATATGCTGATGTTTGGTGAACTGTATTGTGATTAGCTATACAATGCTTGTTCCTTTAATGCAGATTGCATCAGTGTTGCCATGCCTAAGGAGTACCAGGTTGAAAAAACATGTTCTAAGTAAATCCCTGCAGATCCTGTAAATGGAGATGCTTGAATTATGAAAGATCTTAATTCCAAACTTTTCTGCTTCCATTTTTAATTCTGAGGCCTCATAACATTGTTTCATCTCACTCAGACCCAATTTCAAGTAAATGTTCAAGTAAATATGTACACACACAAACAGAACCTTTTTACATCAAAATTACTAGCTTTTACCTGAACAGCACAATCATAAAACATTTGTCCCTAGAGCCAGTACTACATGAAGACCACAAACCATAATGAGTATTTTGGTATTCAGTTGCACTTACTATATATATATATACACACACATATATGTATATACACATATTTATATATATACACATATATATAAATATGTGTATATATATGATTATATATATATCATAAATATTATCAATCACATCTTACAAAGGGAACATATACCATGAGGATGGGGGCAAGTTAACCTGATAGTCTTAGGAGGTTTTAATGGACAGACTATTTTCCTAAGATTTATTTTTAAAGAATAAAAAAAATAGAGGTATTTACAATATACCTAGAAATATATGCTCAATTGTAAAATTCAGCTGCAGTTTATAATCATCCCTCCTACCATTAAAAACAAACAGACATACAAAAAACAAAAATGCCACCCAAGGTCTTATGTTATCTATAGGACCAAAGTACTGGCTTACTGGAGTTTTCCCTTTAAATGGAATCAGGAACCACCTAATTGTATATTAATCTTGCATGTCATTTATTTCAGATACTGGAATTCCAGATATTGAAATAGAAAACAATGGGACTCCTCATGATAGTGCTGCTATGCAAGGTACAGTCAACTGAAAACTTCTTTCTTTGACTGCTTAATATGTGACCCCTGGGGATGAGGTGGGGATGAGGTGGGGATGAGCTTCTGTGATGATACTCTTCATATAAATAAAATAAATAAGTTTTGACACTTCTTACTTTATGACACAGGAAGCAATTTGCAGTTTTTTGAGAAAAAAATACTTAACATGGCTTTGAAAACCCAATAACTCTGGTTACAGAGGGACTAATAATTTTACATATACAATGTGAGCAAATACATGTAGCTGTAAAAAGAATACACATTTGTATGTCAGGCATATTCTAAAAATGCATAAATGTGAATGTAATTTATCTTTTAAAAGTGTACAATACCATGAGGTATTTTTGTAATTTCACCACTTTGCTGTTTGTAAAAGCCACAGGTACAATCATTGTAACCTATCAAAATTTTGAAGGTATTCAAGACAACATTTTTTTCATCCTTTAAATTTTGATGTTAATCTTAGAGACCACTTAAGTATGAAAATCAGAACATGACTTATAATTCGTGATTTACATGATTATCACAATTGCTTACATCTTTAAAAATATTTGAAAATATTTAGTAGTAAGAAAACAGATGAAACAAATCAATATAGAGTCTCACTGGAGTGCAAAAGCACATAAAAATGAGTTAAATGTGACCACTGAAAATTTTCCAGTGTGATTCCAATGCACTTCTAGACCTTTGCATGCAGATTACATTTATTTTCACATTTATTGTGATAAAATGCCTAACTCTAATAAAAAATAAAGAACATTTTTATGAGAAAACTATTTCCTAACTTTGAAAAAAGAAGACAACTATGAATATGTTGCTCGCTGGAATTAATCAGTGCCTTTCTCCTATGTGATGAGTGGATCTTCATAAAGGCAACAGAACTGGATGTGACCAAAATATCCATTTGGGTTCATCTAAGAGTCACCATTTTATGTGGTAGCTTCATAAGTTGTTTTACATGTAGTTTTACAAGTCATCTTTATAAAACCAGAAATGTTAGCTCTCATGGATACTCTAGTGATGCATGATTCTGTTGCAGGTGGGTAGACCTAACTAATGCACTATGTTAGGTGTAAAAGCATGCATGCTTAACTCATTCGATGAAGCTTTTGCTGGTTCTTATCCCTTTTTTGCTTGCCTACTTTATTCCCTCAGCTTAAAGGCTGTGTCTATATGAGCAAAACCAATTCAAATGGGATTCAGTGTTTGTCCAACCAATTCATCACAGCAAAATTCACTAAGAAGTGCCCCACTAGTTGTGGGCCTGGTATTTGAGGTTACCATCATATACCAGCTCCATGGTAGAGATGAATAGCCTGAAGCATTTGATCCCTTCTGAATCAGTGACATGCAAATATAGACATAGTCTTTAAGGAACATTGAACTTGATTGTGCCCTGCTTTGAGTGGGTTTAAGGTCAGCTTTGGAACTGGAGAGGGTAATCCGAATACACCACTAGTGAGTTTTATCTTTATTATCTTTTAACCTGCACCTCTGATTTATTGCTCTTTGTTTAATTTATATGATACCTTTAGTTCATAGTAGTAACATCTTTCTTAACTCTGAGAGAAATACAAGCTTTTGAACTGTCCTAAAATTATTTCATTTCCATGTAACAAGTAGTGATATTTTATTCGTGGGCAATTAGGAGATATAAGCAAAAGGTAGATCCACTCTTCGTTTCCAAATTCTTTTATGAAGTCTACCAAGAATGGATTTTGCATATTTACTTGCACTTAGGAAAGGACACATTTAATACTTGTTTTCATTGTGCATACTTTTAATAAGTTCTACAAGTTTTTACTTGCTAAATATGAGATAGTTAGATTCATCTTAAAAGGAATGAGATGTAATTTATTTTAAAGCAAAGAAATTGGTTTGTATTTTTTTCCAAATTAAAAATGACACTGTCTAGTATTTGTCTTTAACATTGTCTATATATGGTAAAATATGGTAGGTTAATAATTCTTTATTGGATGTCTGTCTTTTATATTACATTAAATAAGGTTCCACATAAATGTGATAAAAATGGAAAAATACACATTATCGCTTCTCTTTGCACGACATTTAAGCACTGTAAATGATAAAGCCCCTATCATCTCCTTATGAAAAACTATAGTTAATGTCTTATGTTAATATGACAGTAGAATCACAATTTAATCAAAAAAATTTAGCAATAATGTTTTATTCTTTTAGCCAGGAAAATAGGTGCCTACAAATATTATCAGAACTAATCTTAAATAGAGTTTACCAAATCAGTCAGGTCAAATAATTATCTAAAAATCCCAATCATTTTGCCTATTATTTGTAAAATAATAAAAAGTAATAAAAACATTACTTTTGAATGTATCTGTGAAACTCAGAAAATGTATAATGTTGGAAAACATGAAATGCAAGCTTAGCCATTATTTTTCTATTCTTCCTAATAATTTTGATTTTGTAAGTTATAGTTCTTTTTTGTGACATTTTGATACTGTTTTAATCTTTTCCATCTCCCTTGAAACCTGTTTTTTAACTTGGAAGATCATTTCCTATCATTGTTTGTGAGAGTCAGTTCATGTATACCAATGCAATACCATTTCCAAAATTCATCTCCATCACAGGAAATAATTCCAGCATCAGTAAAGTTCTTTCTCTTCCTGTTGTTCAATAGCTCTCCTAGATAGAAATCTATCATTCACCTAGTACTCTCCCTTTGAGATTCAGTTGATTCCACTGTGACATCTTAAGAATTTAAAAGGCACTTGGAAAAACATTACATGGCCACTCCTGGAAGCAAAAAAGTAATATCCAGTTTTATGGTAATTTCCACATGGGTTTTAGTGCAGACAAACTGCACATGTACCAGAAATCTTATATATATAAGATTTTATATATATTTACTATATATAGTATATATACATAATGTATCCTATATAATGTATTACATGTAATACATTATATGTATATAATACATCTCTTCAGCTTGGTTATTTCATGTCTTTTATGCTTTGAATGTTGTTTGACAGAGACGATAATATGCATAGACCAAGTTTCCATAAAAGGATATCTGTATCTTTATATTTTCGGAGTCTACCATAGCAACTCCTACAGAATGTTTTCTGGTGATCACGCAATGTGTATATACTACTCCAATGGTTATGTCCACTATCTCTAGAGATGAAGGATTTGGTGGAGCACTTGTGCTAATGTCATTCCATCCAAATTCCTATAACTCAGTTGAGGGCCTGCAAGATAGCACATCAACCATCTTATCAACCAATCCCTGTTTCACATAAAATAAACATACCGAGTGTCATTAAGTGCACCTTCAGATCAATGATATTTTTGCAAATGACATTCAAGTGCCATTTGCATAGTGCATTTTTGCTGATAAAAGCAAATTAAATTAGCACAACTACAAGTGTGCTGATAAAAACTAAAACTGAACAGCAGTACCATTAGCTAACAAAGTAATATTTCTTTTTACTGCATTCTGCCATTTAGTTATTATCCTATTGGAAATCTAATTATAATCCTTTTACTCCCCAGTCAAACTTCACAGTTTTTGCAAGCTTAGCACTGACAAGTGATTTCATTACATTTGATTGCCTGCGCCCAGATTGACTTAACTTCACTTGGAGACCTAAAAACCCTCTCAGTTTCTCAGATTCCCTGTTTGCACATTACTGCAACAGCTCCTTTAATTAATTAGCATGAACAGCAGTAACATGAACTGCTGAACAGAAAATAACATCATTTTATGATCTCAGGGAGACTTCTCCTTTTGCATGTTTATACCTTAGTTAACTTGTGTATGGCTATATTTCATTGTTAGTGGCTAGTGGTATAGTAGACAGTGCATGTTTCCTAAATTTAAAAAAAATGAAGTTAACATCTTAATAACAATAGGTAAAACAAAAACAGAATATGAAGCTCCTACATTTTAGAAAATAGACAACTGCCATCATGAACTGACTTTATAGTAATAAAATAAAATACTAAAGTTCAGGGGAGATAACGTCATAAAGTACAAGGGCACAGTGACATACTGCCCCTGTATCTGCCACTGCATTTGTTTGGGGAAAAAAAATAAACCACAAAATGAGTAACTGTGTTTTGCCCATGGAATGTCAATTTCTGTGAATAATTTTTACATTTTATTTTATGTATACATGTTTGACAAAGACACAAGATGATTTAGCACTGGAATATATTTTCCTCTGATATTTTTTCCATAAATGTGGTGGCATCCTAAATAATTTTTTATTCCTTTTGCTACTGACACACTAGAAGTAGATATTAAGTCAAATCTACATGTGAAAGGAAACCAAAATTTGATGTAAAAGTAAACCTACTAGACCTTTTTTTTTTCCTGAACCATTTTTGCTCAGAAAAAAGGGATCTTATTAAGAGTACAGACTGGCCATTCAAAGATATAAAAGTCATGATCTCATCTATGCAGTAACTGATGAAGCTGCCACTGAAGAATTAAAAACAAAAAAAGTGTCATTTGACTGCAAAAGCAGCAAATATCATTTTAACATCTATTATAATATATTAAAATTTACAATTTAGGGCATAAGTTAATATGCATACCTTATGGCGTAGAACATTTAATATATATTCATAATATAAAATATATGTGAATATGTCTATTTTTATCAATTCTCTCAAAATCAATTTGAACAGTGTCTATCCTTCCTTGACCCCTTAGACCTCCTTATTATCTTTTCTCTTTGGCACTTGCTTACTAACCTAAAACAACATTCCTCCCAAGAAGTTAAGATGCCATGCCAATATTTCCTAAAAACAACTACCCTTGGAATAGGATTATCATTGTAGAATTTGGAAGAATAGTAAGAAAAAGTGATAGTAAGAGTGTGAAAGGGAGCCAGAAAAAATAAATCGCATATGATTTATTGCCATGTATGTGATATGACAAGAGAAACTAAAAGGAGAACAGATGGAATTTTATTATAGACTTTTCTAATTTCCTCCACCACAGTGTGCTCTCCATCTTTCTCTATCTCTAGGGGTTCCACTGACTGCTTCCTACCCTAAACTCACCAACCATTAATTATTAATTTCCCTCCCATTGATGCCCGGTACTGTGTTGGAAGATATACACAGGTACTCTGATGTTCCCATTGTAAAGTGAAAATATTTTCTTATAAATTGGAGGTATATAGCAAGTCAGAGACCAGAGGAATTGTGGGAAGTAGGTCTTAAAAATTTTCTTTTAAATGCTTCCTTGAAGAGTAGGATCCTTTTATTTCCTAGAGAAACTTTATTGCAATGACAATGATACAATGGGAAAAGACTCTAGCACACAACCCACAGAGAAGATCCCAGCATCTTTTTCTAAAGCAGCAAAAATTTTTTCTGTACAGTTTATTAAATGGCCTGTGTCTTTTTATTTTCTTTCTCAGAAAGTATTTTCTCCTTTCTTCATCCTCCACAGGATTTTTATCCTGACTGGTGGTACCTCTCTGCTGTGAAATATCTGTCAGACCATAGTACACATTATACTTCTAATTTTTTCTTAGGAGGATGGGAAGAGCTCACATTAATTACTTAATCGTTCAGGGCCTGGTTGTCAAGGATTCGCTTGCACCACACACATGCATTGTTAACAAAAATATTTTCAGTGACCACAAGACTGTCATGGTAATTATGATGGTAACATACAATCTCATATACAGATCAAAGACGTGCAGTTCTAGCTACATGTTAATTATATAACAGATCAAATTGCAGTGATAGCAAATAGTGAGACTTGCCAGCCATGATAAGTTGTTCTGCTAGTCAGCATGTTGAGTCTACAGGAGTAATTCACTAATTAACAGGTGTTTTTTACTATAATCTAGGAAGGGCTGTTTAACTTAACTCTGATAACTGCTTGACCAGTTACTTTATGCCCCATCCTGTTTATATATACAATACAATTTTTTAAGCTTGGGATTCACCATATGCCAACCCCAACCTAGGTATACCTGAAGGACATGCAAAAGGAAAAACATTTTCCTGATTAAAAGACTAAGTCAAGTTTTACTTTTTTACTTCCACATTTGTGTTTTAATAAATAAAACAAACAGCATTTTCATAGAAGACTGTAATCATATGCCATCATTTTCATAGTACCTTAAAAATTAAAATTATGGTATTGCTACCACACGAATCTGTGGAGGTTCTGTTCCAAGATACTCATCATTCTGAGAATGAGGAATTCATAACCTAAAATTGGAATAGTGAAAAAAGAAAGGCAGGACCTATTATATGTATAGCATGGTGTACTTTGTGTTATCCTTTAAATAATATCCTCTAGGAGGATTATTTCTGGGAGGTAGTTTGGAAAGATGTGATTAACTTCTGTTTTGTAAGTATGAAAATAACCTAAGTTAATTTGCTTGCCATTGACAGTGGGAACTAAAACACAGGAATCTTAACTCTCACTCATTTATCTCACTGTGCATCACTATCAATCCATTCTTGTAAAAATCTCACATAGTTAGCTAGTTAGGATATGTAACAAGACTATAGTATTTTCCCATGCAAAACAGTGCATTGGGGTTCAGGGAAAGGGCAGAGGCTTCTTTACATCATAGTTAATTAAACGAAATAGTCTAAAACCGGGTGTAATTTAATAATCACCTCTGTTTTTAAAAGTTTATAAAGATTGGGGTAATATTTATAAAATTTAGACAAATACCACACAACTCCCTTTTCTATTTAAAACTGTGTGGAGTAGCTGAAATAGTAACAGAAATAAACTTTTTTATTCTTACTAAACTCACTTCACTCTGTCTGTCAGAACTAGATTCCAACAGAGCCTTGCTATCTAATTTTACATTTTATTTTTTTTTATTTGTTGAGACGGAGTTTCATGCTTGTTACCCAGGCAGGAGTGCAGTGGCATATCGGCTCACTGCGACCTCTGCCTCTCAAGTTCAAGCGATTCTTCTGCCTCCGCCTCCCAAGTAGCTGGGATTACAGGTGTGGGCCACCACACTCAGCTAACTTTGAATTTTCACCATGTTGTTCAGGCTGGTCTCAGGCTCCTGACCTCAGGTAATCCACCCGCCTCAGCCTCTCAAAATGCTGGGATTACAGGTGTGAGCCACCACTCCCAGCCACTTAACTAATTTTAGACTGGGATTCCTTATGCAGCATTAGCATAAAGTTTTATTTATTTGTTCTAGGGAACTTATTTTTCATTTATAATAGACATGTAACATTACCTTTTGGAAATTAAAATGAATTTAAAGAAAAACATTCTTTTGGATTTTATACACAACTCCTTTAAGGCCCCTAACCTCTTGACCCTTTCAAGTTTACATTTTACTTTTTTAATATTTGAAAATTAACATTGGTAATGATCCACATACTTCAGCTGGAATCTACTTTTTGTCAGTAATGCAAATGATTTTTGGAGCAACATTTCCACCAATTACTTTATTAGCTTTCAAGAAAGCATCATTATTTTACAAACATTTCTTTCTTATCTTCCTGTTCTTTCACTATCAGGGGAACCCGCCCCCAATATTTCAACATAGGTTCTTTCTATTTTCCATAAGTGTCGGCTGGCTGAGAAATAAAGAGAAAGAGTACAAAGAGAGTAATTTTACAGCTGGGCCACCGGGGGTGACATCACATATTGGTAGGACCGTGATGCCTACCTGAGCCTTAAAGCCAGCAAGTTTTATTAAGGATTTCAAAAGGGGAGGGGGTGCAAGAACAGGGAGTAGGTCACAAGATCACATGCTTCAAAGGGCAAAAAGGAGAACAAAGATCACATGCTTCTGAGGAAACAGGACAAGGGCAAAATCAGAAACTCCTGATAAGGGCCCAACAAACATCACAAGGCAAAGGGCAAAAGCAGAATTACTGATAAGCGTATATGTTCAGCAGTACACATATTGTCTTGATAAACATCTTAAACAACAGAAAACAGAGTTTGAGAGCAGAGAACCAGTCTGACCTCAAATTTACCAGGGCAGGGTTTTTCCCCACCCTAGTAAGCCTGAGGGTACTACAGGAGACCAGGGTGTATTTGAGTCCTTATCTCAACCGCATAAGACGGACACTCCCAGAACAGCCGTTTATAGACCTCCCCCCAGGAATGCATTCTTCTCCAGGGTATTCATTATTAATATTCCTTGCTAGCAAAAGAATTTAGCGATATCTTCCCTACTTCCACATCCGTTTACAGGCTCTCTGCAAGAAGAAAAATATGGCTCTATTTTGCCCAACCCCACAGGTAGTCAGACCTTATGGTTGTCTTCCCTTGTTCCCTGAAAATCGCTGTTATTCTGTTCTTTTTCAAGGTGCACTGATTTAATATTGTTTAGACACACATGTTTTACAATCAATTTGTACAGTTAACACAATTATCACAGTGGTCCTGAGGTGATGTACATCCTCAGCTTATGAAGATAACAGGATTAAGAGATTAAAGTAAGACAGGGGTAAGAAATTATGAAAGTATCATTTGGGAACTGATAAATGTCCATGAAATCTTCACAATTTATGTTCCTCTGCCACGGCTCCAGCCAGTCCCTCCATTCAGGATCCCTGACTTCCTGCAACATTTCACAAATGTCTAAGTGCTCTTGTTTTCATTAAAATAATAAAAATGAATAAATGCAATGTTGATCTCAGCATCTGTGAGCAACCATTTAATAATGAGTGAGGAAAAACTCTCAATAGAGAGAACTAATAAACCCTCAAATCTTACTATTTCCTGGTAACTGCATTTCAACCTTCTATGGGAAATGTTGGATGTCATCATTTTTAACATTGTACAAGTTAATATTTGTTTATCCATTACTTTCATTTTTCACTTTCCTCTATATTTTGATTTGTTTAAAATCGAGTATTATAGTGTTCTTCTATCAGTTTAGCAGACAAAAGTAGTAGTTAAAAGTTATTTAAAAATAGAACTTAACTATACTTTAAAATGTTACCTAAAATATTTCCAATCTGCATCCTGTACAAAACTCAAATCAATTAGACTTTTAAGAAACATTTTGTGACCAGGTGCGGTGGCTCACATCTGTAATCCCAGCACTTTGGGAGACCGAGGCAGGTGGATTGCCTCAGGTATGGAGTTTGAGACCAGCCTGGCTAACATGGAGAAATTTTTAGTCTCTACTAAAAATACAAAAAATAGCCAGGTGTGATGGCACACGCCTGTAGTCCCAGCTACCTGGGAGGCTGAGGCAGGAGAATTGTTTGAACCTGGGAGGCGGAGGCTGCAGTGAGCTGAGATCACAACACTGCACTCCAGCCTGTGCAACAGAGCAAGACTCTGTCTCAGAAAAAAAAAAGGAAAAAAGAAGAAGAAAAAACATTTTGTAACTTATATGCTTATGGAAAGTGGGGGACTTGATCTCAGATTATTTAGAGATTTAGAGAAATGGCATAGAAACATAATTCACACTTTTCACTGTAGCATTATCCACAACAAGAAAATAATGAAAGAGGATGGCATTCCATATATGCCATATGTACATGTGGAGTGGCTCCTGACATAGTGTTCCATACGTGTTAGTTTTTATTTATTCTTCTCTCCCTTTCTCTCTCTTCTCAGATGAAAAATAGAATTTCAGTACTTCTAAAGCTCTTAATGTGGCTCAACAGTTGCAGATCTCTGTACTGGACATGTGCACTTCTATTGCCATTTTATAACCAGTATGTGAGAGGCACAATGAAGTGGCAGAAAGAGCACTGATCTACTAGTCAGAATTTCTCAGTTACTAACTCGCTAACTCAGTTACTAACCTTGAGAAGTCATTTACCTTCTCTCTGCCTTAACTTTAGTAAAATAGGTATCATAATACTTGCCTATTCTTCCTCATCAATAAGTTAGATACATACTATCTGATAAGTATGGCGAGTACAAGATATCATTATTACTGTGCCCTATAAAATACACTCAGATTTGATTTTGTTTTCTAATGTTGATTTCAGTAGGAGGGAACTATTTGGCCTATAAGTGATGTGTAAAACTTCCTCTAAAGAGTGTGCTCTCCCATAGATAGTTATGGTTAATGACATCTCTACATTTTATCCCCATGTGTGAGCAGAAGGGCATTCATGCTTCCTTTTTAGGGTATGTTTTCTAAGAACTAGAGATTCAATAAAGGGGAAAGGGATGTATTAAATAATTATTTCACAAAACCAGGGTGCATTACAAGTAAGATAGTTTGATACTCCATTATGACACCATTTGCACAAAAAAGATGACCTATTGACCTATCCTGATCTTCATTTTGAATAAATTGTAAGTCAGATATTTTTAAGGCTAATGAGCCCAAATGGTTATTTTCAAGAAACCTCTGTTTTTAAAAAAATATGTCATGTTCTAAAAATAAACACTAGAACTTTCTGAAAAAAAAATGATTCCAAAATAGTACTCTTCTCTAGACAAAGAGTAATCAAACAGTGTATTATATCTTCCCCTTGCTTGCAATTGTCTGCTTTTCCTACTTTCGAATTAGTAACTCATATTTATACTACTGCAATAATAACCGACTGGATCCCAAACTAACCTCACTACTGTCACTTCTTTGATTTGAGAATATCATGTTCTGAACATATTTCCACAACTAAAGTTGAGTTTCTACAATTAATTCTACATTTAATTAGGATTGAATCTAAGACTGAAGTGGAAAACAAGTGGAGCATTAACTAGCATATTATTTTATCTCTTTCTTATTCAGGTTAGGAAAACATGACCTTCAAGAGATTATCTTACTTGCTGCTAAATTATATAGTGCCCATTTGTAAATCAGAAGCACAGCACTAATTAAGCAACATAAAGAAAACATAGATTAGAAAATATTGCCAATAGTTCAAGAATAGCTTAGCTACCTCAAAAGAAAGGTTTGATAGCCTAAAGTACACCTGTGTGAATTCTACTAGTTCTCATTGCAGTCCCATTGTTTATAGAGGTAAACAACTGGTGAGGAGACATTTGGAAGCAAACATGAACCTTGGGTAGGAAAAATCACAAATGCATTTTATTGTAAATATAAACCTCTAAACACATTATAGATACAGTTCTTGGTAGTTTTTTGAAAAATAAAAAGTGAGCAATTACTTTCGAATAACCATCCTGTCAGGGAAGGAAATCTCATACTGAGGGAACATTGTGGTCATTAGCAAAGATTTTGACTCACAAAAAACAGGATAGGCCTTTACTAATGTTTTAGACTGTGGAGGAAAAAACAATTCCTAAATGCCTTGCTTATTAAGCTAGTTACGCATTTTGCTGCAGGTTGTAAAGAAGAAGAACATGCACAAGGGGCTCATAAGCATATTTTAGAGTTAGGGAATATCATTTACGCCATATTTATATTGTCAATATCACCCCTAGAGAATAAGATTAAGCTTTAAACTACTGTAAATCTACGCTTTTGCTCACTTTTGTATAATTTCATTTTTAATAAAATGAGACTCATATAAATGAATATTTGATTAAGGGATAAACCTAATAAAATAATACATTAATTGCGAGAGATATATTCAAATCTTGAACATATATAGCACAGCGAAATACTATAAAGTGAGTTTGTGGTTTTCAGTGAAGTGCATTGAGTAGATTTTGAATTTTCTTTGTTCGAATGAAATTTTGACCAGGTCTTATTGTTTTTTCTGTGCAGCCTGAACACTGATGCCGGAACTCCAACTGATCATAGGCACGAATAGGGTGCTGTAGCAGTTACCTGCTTATCTAGTGTTGTAAATTATTTAGAATTCATACTCAAATCCTTAAAATATGGAACCTTTAATTACTGTTTGTTCATTACTGATAAATAGAACCTTACACATACAGGAAAAATGTCCTAGAGAATGGGTTTCACAGGTTTTTAGGGGATAGTCATAATAATGACTGAACACATTTTACACTTCTTTAACCTCTTTCTTTCAAGGAGTTAGTTCATAGTGCTTCAAAAACATTATCACATTAATTCACACAGAATCCTAGTGGGGTAAGTAGGTGGAAGAATTTTTAAGACAGAGAAAATGCTATTTCTAAATGGTGTGAGACAAATTAAAATGCAGGCACACCTACTTTAAGCTGCAATTACTGTGAAATAACTTCTTGTCTGACCTGGTATTTAACAGGAATTATATCAGGTGGTGAATCATTTGTGCAAATGATCGATATTTGTTATCACTGCTTTGGAGCTCTCATTTCTAAAAGAAACACTTGGCCTGTAGTGTTCTCTAAGAAAATATAAGGAGCTCTAGTTTTTAGATTTTACCACACCCAGTTTTTCCTTTGAACTGTTGATGGTGGAGCAAGTCCTTTAACCCCTTTCTACTAGCACATTCCTGATTTGTAAAGAATGCAATGATAAAAACAGATACCCAAGCTGCTAAAAATACCCCTTTACTATTTTCTTCTCTCCTCCCATCCCCAATCTTGCTTCCTCTTTATTAAGCTATTAACAAGCAAACAGAATGAAAAATCTATAGGCATAAGAAAAGAGAAAGATGGGTCAGTGAGATTATGGATATTTTATACTGTTCACTCTCTGGTCTAGACATAGCCAGATTCCTAACATGTTCAAATGATTAGGAACATTTGGCTTGAATTGCCCAGGAAATGGCCTCAAATATTTTTAACTGTTTACTTAGAGGAGATCTGACCATTGGCTGGGGGCAGATACCTGTTATCATTATTTTGATGCCTACTAAAAATCTAATAGAGCAGCATTCCAATGTGTTATATGGTACTCTAATGATCAAAAAGATTTAATGCTCCTCCTAAAGTGCCCTCCTTATATTAAACAATATATAATCCATTGTGTTGTTTTCACGTCTGCCCTAGCATTAAGTTCTGATGTGACAGAAGCACCAAGCATCTCCTGCAAAAAGCCAACTGAGTTTTTATCCATTTTCTAGTAAGAGGTTCCCCATGGCAGTACATGCAATTTCTGCCGGAATGGCCACCCACTCTAAACACTTAAAAATATTACATTAATTCATATCGATGTGACATTTCAGTAATTCCAAGCTCTGAAGGAATGTTTTCTAAAGCATAAGCATTTGGATTCTGGTATTCTTCATGGGCTGTAGAAGGTCTGCTTATATAGAGTAGGTATACTGTTTTAGCCCAATTCAGTGAAATAATGCCAAATTAGAAATAAGTCATGGAGAAGGATTGAAGCAAGTCAAATAAAAACTTTTATTAATATCAAATATCTGAAATAAATAACAGTGACAGGTGACTAAAAATATAACATCCAAGAAAGTCTCATCATTAAATGGAATTTCCAAATTAAGTTACTTCAAAATAAACTAGTGTCTTTTGTTTAAATAAGTAGATAAGTTTAACTTACCTTGTTTGAACTATGAGGACTCCTCATGTGTATTTTTTTCTGGCCTTTTCCCATATATCTGCCTTGTTTATGATACATGATTTTAGCTATTCCGGCTCATAGGCTTAGGATATATACCACAGGGCAAGTCTCACATTTACTTGAGTTTGGAGCAGCTATTTGTGGCCCAGTAAAGATAACTCAACTGATTAGGAGAGGTTCATCTCCTGTGTGGAGTGTCCACACTGACCTTCTGTGTCATGGCATATGCCCATGTCAGGCAGTGCTGTGCTAAAGGAAGGATTACATGGACTTTTGTTTTTACTTTAAAAATGGTCACATTTGTATGTATCAAATTCCCCTTTTTACCTATCTGATAAATCCCAAAGCAATAAACTCTGTCAGCTCTCCCCAAATGTCAGTGTGTGTCCCTCTTTTTAAGTTCTCAAGCTCGGTAACATTCCCCTGGAGAGACTTTGTTAGTTTCTCTTCCTGATCTTTAATCTTATTGACATCCAGAGTTCATATCAGATCATCTCTGTTTAGAGCTCAAGAACAAACCCTTATAAGAACATGAAACATTCCATTACTAATTAGCTGTTTCCTGTTCCTAATGAAGCGAGCACACTGGGTCTGGATTAAAATTCAGCTACTACTCCTCTCTGTTTATGGTTCCAGATGTTTTTGGTTTATGTAGGAGATTACTTTGACAGCTACTACTAAGTGATAAATCACTCATATTATAGCTGAAATGCATTTTGAAATTGAAATGTGGCAAACTTTGAGATTGCTCCAAGGATCAGTGTCAGCAGTTCATTACTGGCATCTTCCTTATGATCATTCAGCATTGGCACATGTAAAACAGTAACCAAATATGTGTCAACATTATACAACATGCTACACAGGGGTCTGTTTCGCTACTGTCCTCAAAATTGGGAGAAAAAGTTTTACTACGGTGAAATCTCAATTTATTGTATTCTGGTAGAAAAGTTGATTCACTTAATATTGTTTTCTTCTTGCTAGCCTAGTTTTTCTTTCAATTTTTGAGCAGCTATGGGAACTATTCCTAATAGGCCTTGTAAGCAGACACATAAAGGATGTGGGCAAATATTTCTGTCTCTAAATAAAGGCAAGAAATAAACATAACAAAAGTAGAAATTTTTCAGAAACTGCATTTTTCTAAAGGACAAATGGTGATTGTCTTTCGCTATTCATTGCTGAGTTCATGTACCCTTTTTAAGGGGACATAGTGTGTGCTATTGCTTTCCAGTTTGTAATGTTCACAGTTTGTGTTGCATGATTTAAGCTTTAGCTATATTGTATAAATTTCAATCCTGGTAAAATGACTGTCATTTCATGTCAAAGAGCTTTCCTTTGACATTTAGGCTGTGTATACAAAGGATGAGGTAGACTGGAGGACTGAGCAAATATTTGGTCAATTCATCAGAGTAAATATTCTCAGACTCCACAAAGGAGTTGGAACAATTACCAGTGTCCAAAAATTCAAGCTTTGTTTTCTTCTGGTCCCTGGAAAAGTTTAAGTGAATTCCATGGGCTTCTTGGGAAAATGTCTGGTTGCCCTCTGATGAAGTCCAACCCTCCATAAGTCTGACTAACCCAAACCCCAAATCTTTTATTCATCTATTACCTTACTACATCTTTATTTTTGGTTCTGAGGTATTATCTAGAAAATTCTGCCACTCACCATGATACCTTATACACAGAAAGAATAAAGATTTTAAAGATATTATACACAAGGTTAAAAAAGGGTATACTTTCCTCCTAATAAGCTTGACCAGATTGACTTAATATTTTAGATTAGACATATTAGTCCAACAATGATAATGTCCTCTCCATTATATGTGAAAATAAAGCACTTGACTCAGAAACATTATCTTTAAGTATTTCTCAAGCACAGGTAATGGATTTGTACGGATTCATCCACATTTCTTTTCCTACTTCTTTTGTAACCAAAAGCCAATCTTTGTGATGTATCTAAATAGAGACTCAGGTTATAAGCCATTGCTATGGAAAATAACAAGGTTTGACAAAAAGAGGTAGAATAAATTTTTTTTTAAAAATTTCCAACAATAACTTTTACCCACCCAAATTAAATATTATCTAACTCTAGGATGGCATGGGCTCTTTTAATGACTATCATTTAGAGGGATACCGGTTTGACTAAACACTGTAGCTGAAACGATATTCCAAACTAGTCTCCCTTCATGCAGTATACACAGTCTCAGGGTTAACCCGGGAGAGGAAATTTTAAATGTACAAAGCTGTCATTATCTTAGATCATAACCAGATACTCTTTTCCCCCTGTTTTGGTAAACCACAGGGATGGTATTTCAGATGCACCATTATATACAAAAAAAAAAGTAATATAGATTATTACAGACATTATAATATAGTTCATGAAGAGCCTTTATCAGTCTTCAATGTCTCCGGTGCTGTGGAAAGAAGAACAGAAGCTATAGCATGAAATTTGAAGGATCTTTGAAAACTGACAGATGAAAATATAGAAATGTTAAGAAATGTTAAATTTTACCAACACTAAATTGAGCCTGTTACATCAGATCATTTTAGGTTCCTGAAGATAGAAGTTTTAGTATTTTTAAGCACGTATCAGAATGACTCTTCATAAGAACTAACTTGTTTTCTTTTTTTTTAAGGAGGTAACTATTACTGTTTAGAAATGGCACAACAGTTGTATTCAGCCTGAAAGGTCCTCGCTGGCTTTACATAAATGAAGATGCTTGTGATTCCAGTTTATCTCTGAAACTATTCAACATGGAGTTATTTCAGTTTTGTTTATCAGCAAAGCTTTGTTTACTGAAGGAGCTATTTAATCTATGTTACATTAAAAAAGAAACGCGTGTACATTTTAAAAGCAATGATGTAAACTTTGTTCTTGCATTAGACTGACCAGTTTAAAAATATGAACTAAAACCTAATGGCTAAAGTAACTTGACCATATTTGATGCTTTTCTATGCTCATTTCAACTTGGCTTTTTGTCTTTTAAATTTTTAAAAAATGCAGTAGTGTGTTAGAGACTAGAAAGTTATATGTATGGTTTCCCTGTTCTACTATACATAACGTTAAAGTACACCTTCTTTGTTAAAAATGTACTTGCTAAACTTCAGCGTAAATAAAAACATTTTGACTTTGTCAATTGTCACTGAGTATTTCTTTTCAAACTGCCAACTGCAGTCATTGAAACATATAGTAGAGTCAGTGCAAATCAAAATACGGGAACTAGCCAGATGTTTGCAAATCTTCCTCTAGTTTTGTTATTTTCAAGCAGATAGGAACACAGTTCTTATTTCAGTTCATCTGTTTAAACAGGCTGATATTCCTGTCCTCAATTGTTGTATTGATTCACACTGGATTGCCTTTTCCTAGTTATGTGTGCTTAGTGAACCTGCTTCCAGGAGGAAGGGTTACACTGGGAAGCAGGAAAAATGGGTGCACCAAGAACTAGAAAATATTTTCTGAGTATTTGTTATCATCAAAAGTTTATTCTAGAGTCACCTACACTAAAAAGCAAACAAAAATGGAAGGGGTATATCTTCTCTGGCCCCCCAAAATATCAAGTCTCTTTGTACGTCCAAGTGCCTATCACAGTGTAGTGAAAAACCAAGGCCAGTTATAGCCCTGCCCTACAGTTTATTTAATCTGTGCTCTTACTTTCTCTTGGTTCACTTCTGGTAAAATACTGGAGCTCACTCAAATTCTGGTTGACTATAAAACCTCTCAGGTTTTCCTATGAAGCGGCAGTGACACTCCCACTCCTTGCCTATCTTTTGAAATGTATTGTATCTCACAGTGTTCTAGCTGGTCACCCAATGACTGTAGGTCTTCTACTTTGGAACCATGTTGGTAAATCCACAGATGTTTCTTCTCACTATCATGTCCACACCATCCTTGTTTATGGAAATCTTGAGAGTCCTGACAGGACTACAAGCTCTTTCTGTGTTATAAAGGACAAAGATCCCTAAGATTTTGGTTTGCTAAGTAGGCCTGCTCTGGTAGCATACTATAGCCCCTGCCATAATACACAAAGCAAGTCCTCAACAGGCAAACATATGATATTCATGCTTGCACTATTTAAAAGTCAATCTAACAATCAAGGAAAGCATGTGCTAGTAGCTGCCCTACTCTCAGGTATTCAGGTGCCTAATGCTGCCTGTGGGTTTATCTCACCTGGTAGCAGTTATTTGCACTGGCTTAACATCAATGGACATCATTTGATTTTGGGTCCCATGGATGGTTAGGACTTCTAAGGAAGTGAAAGCAATTATAGGACTCTTCTGGTTATTTGAAAGCCCACTTAATTGACCCATCAGAAGAAACTGAAACAGAAAAATATTGGGAGTGAGACCCACCATATACCTTCAAGTTTACTGGGATAGGATTGCTTGTCATTTCAATGCTACCCCTTGACAACCCTTCCACATCCTCCTCTTCACAACCACCTCCCTCCTCCAACAACATAGGAACCTTAGCCTTAAGAAAAGGAACTGGGTCAAGGATAAGAATTCTGTCATTGCTGGATGGTGGTTTCACTGCATATCAATTCTTTCTCAGTAAACAATTTTCTCCTAGGGTTGGGAGGATCCACATTACATTATTTTCCTTTGCACTCTCTTTGGAGAAAATACAGTTTATGTTCATCCTGGAAATATGGCTGTAGGAGTTGGATCAGCCTCATGCAAATTCTATGGTCTCTGACTTCCTTAAATTCACTAATCATGGAGTAAGGGTGAGGGATCACAGCTGCTCCCACCACCAGACATACTCAAGACACTGTCATCTATAATTACAATCCTAGTTTGAGTGTCTTCCCATACCTTACAAGTCACCTAATCTTTTTGCCAGATACAGCTGTTTCTGTTCTTCCCAATGTATGCCAATCATGTATAATGCTATTTATATATAACTGAACCCCTATGTATTTGGTTATAAAGGCCTCTCTCGCCCAGCAAACACTAGCATTGTGCCCTCTTACTTAGGGATAGGTGTCGATGTGGATGGAGTTCTAAAAATAATTTAAAATAGAATATGAGATTAGGGAGTGAGTGTGAGGGTCTTTAAAGACCATCAAATGTCCAATATATCAAAAGAAGGCAAACAACTACTATTTGAAGAATTATAATGTCAAGGAGCTGCTTCTTTTGTTAGACAGCTGTCAGCATTATAAAGACCAAAAGTGATATTGAACCGAAAATTTACCACTTCAGCTTGAACTTGGAGGAAAACTACCCCCAATCACAAACATAACTAAATGACTCCCTCATTTAAAATTATAGAAAATTGTCAGATATTACAGGTAAAGTAAAAGGAATCTGCATAGTTTTATTCCCTTTTGCATTCGTATGCATGCATGTGTGCATACACACAGAGGATATACGCACAAAACACTCCTGCTTCCCTTTGTCAATGAATTACTGAAATCAAACCTGGGCATTTGTCCAGTTTCACCTGATTCAACTCTCTCTTAAAGCATATGAGTAGCTAAATTATGAGATGTAAAGCAAATGTGAGGTATGAAGATAGTAGGCAATCATTGGGAGGGATGGTACTCATTTTGAATATAAAATGCCCAGATTATAATAACAATTCTGAAGTTCAGTTCTTTAGTTGTCTAA
This sequence comes from Homo sapiens, assembly GCF_000001405.40. NCBI lineage: Eukaryota > Metazoa > Chordata > Mammalia > Primates > Hominidae > Homo > Homo sapiens. Next base: position 86,835,083 of record NC_000023.11, read on the forward strand.
ACAAAAAGTCCCCTCTCCTGACCCCAACTGGCCATGTAAGAGTTCATTTTTTACACCTCTGTCAATTACCCTGCAATCCTTCTCTAAAGTTTCTAGGTTTAAACTGAATGATAGTACAACTGAGAACACAAGCATGGAACCCTGTTTTATGTTCTAATACATTAGAAGTATGGGAGGCAGAAGCTCCAGAAAGGCAATTGTACTAATTTTAAAGCTCCTTGATTACCAGGCATATTTATTAACATCTTTGGAATTATCTATGCCTCATGGACAACTTCTCTCACTTATTCAAATAAGAGAGCTACAATAACCACAAATGCATTTCAACTCAACTAATAAACATTTTAGTACATTACACAACAATTCATTATGCTCTCATGGGGAGAGTATTTCTTCACTTTTGGATGCTTTTTTAAATGCATGAAACCCATAATCTTTTGTGTAATATTTGTGCGAAAAATTTAGTAGAGCATGCCTCTTGGGTTCTTCATGCCATTTATGACATTAGCAGTATGTAAAGATCTTAGAAGTTCCAGAACAACATTAACACACCTCAAACACACCTCAAAATCTATCTTAATTAGTCAAACGGGAGCATTAAATTAAGTATTTAGGTATAATTTTGTGTCTGGCATAGAAAAGGATACTTTATATAGCAAGAAAGTTCTAATAGAACTGAGAAAACAGTGTTCACATCATAAACAATTAAAAATCACTACAAATGCTAGATAATTAAATGCCAATATGTATGGTACAGAGATAAAGAAGGAAACACATGTTATGTGCAGGAATAATGGGTAGGTTTTGTGAAACTTGATTACAGCCCTAAATAACAAGAAGGATTTGTGGGATAGAGGAAAAAGATAAGAGTTCAGTAGCAGCTAAGCCCCAGGGTAAGAAAGTAAAATGGTAAGTACTATTCATGGAACAGAAAGAAATCCACTCTAAGAAAGCACAGACTTCTTGTCCAGCTTTACTGGGAGATAAGATTTGATAGTTAAAATGGGGCTATATTATAGAACACCTTGAGTAGGTGGTAATGAACATATAACAGCAACTCTTTTGGCATATCAATCTGAGAGCATTGTGGGATGAAGCGATTGGAGAAGTTTCAGGAAGAGAGACAATTATATGTCATAAAATTACACTTTTATATTATTCTCTACATATTTTTAATTTAAAAGGAGTATTCAGTATAATCAAGGATGGTACACATGCTATCAATTTTCACAGATGCTTACAATTCTAGCTAACTATGAGAATGCGAGGTGTTCCATGGGTCAATCAACATAAAGAAACTGTTCTTGGCAAGGTTTAATATTTGGATTTAAGCTTCCACAAATATCTATAAAATCATAAGCCAGAAATGGAGTTTTATTTGAAATAAAACATTTCATCCGAAGTCTCAATCAATCTAATTTTTTCAACTTTACTAATATAGAACATCCCTGAATTCTAAGTGTCATTACAACTGAACATCTTTTATATATGAACCATGGCATCAGCTAGGCCTCACCTCCATTTCTACCCTCCAAAGTTTCACTCCTTTTACTACTTTTAGACGTAGGGTTTTTGCCACCTTAAGAAGACAAAGTCCAACTGAAATCTTATCCTACTTCTTACCACCTGTACTTCCCTGACCAAGCTAACCCCAAAGTCAGAGCCCCTACGATATTTACAGTCCCATTAAAGTCCTTGCTCCTATCACCCAGCATACTGAAATGAGGAAGAATAATTTTATATCCTGCTACTGAGAATGCACTGGTTGCTATTTCTTTAGGGTTTAATACAGAACTCAGAATGAGGCAGATTTTTTTTTCCCATGGACAAATTGTTAGCTTTGACAGATAGTTGGGGGTTTAAAGCACACACGGTTCTATGCTTCCTGGAGAAAAGACATCTCACTTGCAACTTGAAGGACAAACGCAGTTCACTAGAGGAATAGAGGTTAGGCCACCTTCAAGCAAATATACAATTTACTTCCAGAAAAATGCCACCTTTATTCTCTTAAAGTTCTTTCATCTTTAATATCTTGGTGCTCCAGAAAGAAATAAACCTAAAGTCTCCTCTTATTTCTTTTTCCCCCTAAATTTTCTCTCCTCTGTATCCAATAGTTTGAAAACACAGAAGTAGAGAGTAGAACGGTGGTTACCAGATGCTGGGGGTTGGGAGTGTGAATGGGGAAGGGGAAATGTTGGTCAAAGAGTATAAAATTTCAGTTACACATTAGGAATAAGTTTTAGTGTTCAATTTCATAGCATTGTAACCATAGTTAATAATGTATTGTTTATCTCAAAATTGCTAAAATGGTAGATTTCAAATGTCCTCACTGCAAAAATTAAGTAAGTGAGGTGATGGATATGTTAACTAGCTGGATTTATTTATTCCACTATGTATACATATATGAAAAGATCACATTTTCCTATAAAATGTACAATTACTATTTTCCATTTAAAGTAAAATAAAATTAAAAACATAAAGGTGGCCCCATGTGCTAAGTTCTCACTCTATAGCCCATTGGGCTTGATGGGTTTTAAAGCCCCTAAAAGCTTCCAGTGCTTTAGCTGCCCATATATTTCTCCCAGGATAAACCACTCCTTCTTAGTTCTTACAATATCTGCAACTATGTGAAGGTAGAAAATGTCTTATTCTCTTGGTATTTATGGATGACTAGTTTTACCTAGAGTGACTACTAAAACCATAGCACATATTCGTAGCAATTTGCATTTGATAAATTGTCTTTACACAAATCATTTCATTCAATATCAGTTATTTAACATGTTTCTAAGGGAATATACTTTCCTTTATTTTCATATATTCCTCTATTGTACAACCTTGATTCTTGTAAGAGCTCTTCATGAAGTATGGCATGAGTGACACAGGTCTCAGGGATAGATACTCAAGCTCATTAAATTTTAATAGGTGTAAAATTTATGTCTTTATGTCAGAGCCAACAGGCATACATACTATGTTTTTAGACCAGAGACTTTGTGAACAATCTTTCAGTCTCCCAGGCTGATTTACTTATTTCTGAACTTAGAAGCTGGTTCTGAATATATATGACCACAAATCAGAAAGTCAGACAATTCAAAATTGCTACCAAAGTAGCAAAATATTGTCTTACTGGTACACAAACATTTCTGTCCATATATTTCCAAGTGTCTGCTGGATATATTCATTCAGATGTAATAATGAAGGGCATGAAATATATTAAAAACAACATTTTTATCTTCTCTTTCAAACATGCCCCTTTTGGAATAATCCTTTTCTTAGTTAATCCATAACCATCATTGAATCGCTCAAGCTAGAAACCTCAGGGACATTCTGAATTTTTCTTTTGATTTATTACCAACATACAAACAGTCATTGAATCCTATCACATCTACCTCGGAAATATATTTCAAAATCATTTCCCTTCCAAATTGCCATTATCTTAGTTTAAACCTCTATTATCTCCTACCTGAAGAATTTCAGTCCAACTCATCTTTTAGGTAGTAGTCTTTTCCACTGCATTCTATCATAACCAAACTACTAAAGGGCTCTTCCTAGGATTTTATTAGGGTCATGTTATTATTAGTCTTAATCCATTAATGCCTCCTCCCTGATTGGGGATGGCATACAAGGCGGTCTTACTTTTTAAATCTCAATTCCTGCTACATCCCCTCATATGCTAAACATACGCCCACAACCTACGCAATGCATAGATTTAATGCTTCCATGTCCTTAGAACTCACGCTCTCTTTGCCTAAAATGATCAGGACCCAGGACCAGCTACATAATTCCTGGGGATAAGTGCAAAAGGAAAATGTGGGATCCCTTGTTTAAAAAGCAAGAAATAAGTGCCATTAAAGTTATATATAAAGGTTTTCCCTTTCTGCCATGTTCTCTTTTTCTTGCTAAAATAACATTTTTTAAATTGCAATTTAATGTCATTCTATGAAAAATATAAATTTTTACCACAAATTTAGCCATTCAATTTTATTTTTGTGTGAAGCCAGTTTTAAATGCCAAAGCCAGCTCTGCCAGTATCTCCTTCCCATCTTGTGTACTCCTTTGAGACCGAGTACAATCACTTTCCTTCTGTGAAAGAAAGGTCCATTTATTTTTAATCTGCTTTGTAACCTATACACTTTTCCCTGTCAAAGAACACAGGCTTTTGAAACAGGGAAACTTAGGTTTAAATCTCAATTCTGTCTCTGACATTAAAAAAACAAATTTACTCACCCTGAGCCTTAATTTCCTTGTCTGAAATGTAGAGAATACTACCTACAGGATTTATATAGGCTTAAAGGAGTTGAAGTACTTAAATAATTTGAACAATGTCTAGTACAAAGGAGGCAACTACTAAATGGTAGCTTTTACTTTATTATTGGCCAGTGACATTATACTAGAATTATTTTCAATTGTATTTGTCTCCCCACTGGACTAGAGATTGTCTTTATTACTCTGTAACTCTCCTAATATCTACCGTAGCACCCAGCACCCCCAATATAAAATGATGAATGAATGAACTAATGCTTTTATTGAGCACTTAGCACAGAGTCTGGTACATAGTACTCATTCTTTTAGTGTTTGTTGTATTATGTGTGAAGCAATGGTTTAATGTTTCCACCACCTTGACTTACATTTCACTTGAAGTTGATATTGACTACTATAGATGCACAGTAACCTCCAATTGTGTCTCCTTCTGCTCAAAACAAATAATTTTCTAGAACTCATACAAAGTTATTCACTTACCTCCTGTATTTTGCTAAAATCAGAGTTCTCAAAGGCATCCACAATTAGGAAGCAATGGATGAGTTTGGGAGAAACAAAAGGCAGAAATGTTCCTTCACTCTCTAATTTTTAAAAGGAAAGCATTGGCCGGGCATGGTGGCTCATGCCTGTAATCCCAACACTTTGGGAGGGCAAGGCGGGCGAATCATGAGGTCAGGAGATCGAGACCATCTTGGCTAACACGGTGAAACCCCATCTCTACTAAAAATACAAAAAATTATCCGGTAGTCCCAGCTACTTGGGAGGCTGAGGCAAGAGTAGCACTTGAACCCGGGAGGCGGAAGTTGCAGTGAGCCGAGATTGCGCCACTACACTCCAGCCTGGGCGACAGAGCAAGACTCCTTCTCAATTAAAAAAAAAAAAAAAAAGGAAAGCATTGAGGTGAGGAGAGTCTCTATAAAATGTTTCTAGTGATTTCTACTTTACATTTTGAGGGTGTTGGGTTTTTTTTTAAAAAGGATTTCTGAATTAGGCTATGATATATATATATTAGAGCCAGTTGTCATATGGAAGGCTTTGTGTGTATTTTGTTATTGTTTTGAGACTAGCTCTCAGACTTCCATAGTAAAATAAATAGATAGGATAAAGCACTGTTCTAAATTCCAGGTTTTCAGTGTTCCTATTATACTCAAATAGTAAAAGAAAATGCTGCTAGGATTACGTCTGATGTTCTGTCACTGAGCAGCCAGTTTTTCAACACAGCTAGAATATCAGCCCAGGGCCATCTGTATTGATATCCTTCTGTGAACTCTTAGCATGAAACCTCTGGGCACAAGTCTGTCAATCAGTTCTAACAGTTATTGCTGATTGTTAGAATTAACAGTACTATTTCCTCTTATGAATAAACTCCCAGTGCATTTACACTGGCGTAATTTAGGGAATAAAAGTAAAGTTTAATGGAAAATGTTTCACAGTGAACTTTGAGAACCAAGTGTCTCTATTTTCTTTAACATCTCCGGGGTATGTAAAATAGGTTTTGAGGGGAAGTACTGTAATCGTAGTACTTCCCCTCAAAACCTGCTTTACATTTTTGTAAACTACACTGATATTAGCTTGGTAAGTATGTCCTTGATTTCTAATTTGCCCTTCTAAAAATAATTTAAAATGTCAAACTACTGGCAGATGAGGTTTAGGGAATTGATAAGTTTTACAGAAGAAAACTGTTGGTAAATTCTTATTAGCTTGCTACTGATATATATTGACAGGCTGGGGTATGAAGCACAAATATTTCAGCTTTACCTAACAAAATAGCTTGTACCTAATATTTTCTTTTGCTGAGTTTTCTCATACTCTCAATAAGAGCAAATTAGGATTATCTGTGGGCAATGACTGATTCCTAAATATGACATTCAAATTAATTAATATGAATCCAACCATTGTCTCTGTGTAACTCCCATGAAACACGCTGCCAGAAAATATCTCTACACCATGAATGTTTTTATCTCAGCAATGCTAAAACGCTCCAGAATAGTAATGTTTCTTAGTGGGATTTTCTTTCAAGGTGAATATCTCCCTATACAAGGGAGCCCCCAGTGATGAGTATAGAAAAGAGTAAAGCATACATGTGTGATTGCAATCTAGAGAGATCACTTGCAGAAGTTGTAAGGGACCACAGCAACTTTCACGCCATAAAAGCATAACTCCAATGGATGGCCATCTCCACAGCATCACTTATTATGTAACTAAATATTTAAAATATTTATTTGTAACACGCGTGTCTCACAGTGCCTGACGACAAATTGCAGCAATGGAGTGCTACCGAAGGCATTTCGATTTATTTTTTTATAAAATAAAAATTTCTTATCAGACAACAATCTTCAGTGAAAAAACTGAGGACAAAGCACATTACTGTTATACAGTACTAAGTTATTCTACCTTGAAAATTAAAATAGCTCTAGTTACTGTGTACAGATTAAAACACAAAAGTATACTGAATAGGCCGGCCATGGTGGCTCACGCCTGTAATTCCAGCACTTTGGGAGGCCGAGGCAGGCGGATCACGAGGTCAGGAGATCAGACCATCCTGGCTAACACGGTGAAACCCCGTCTCTACTAAAAATACAAAAAATTAGCGGGGCGTGGTGGCGGGCGCCTGTAGTCCCAACTACTCGGGAGGCTGAGGCAGGAGAATGGCGTGAAGCTGGGAGGCAGAGCTTGCAGTGAGCCGAGATGGTGCCACTGCACTCCAGCCTGGGCGACACAGGGAGATTCCGTCAAAAAAAAAAAAAAAATATATATATATATATATATATATATATATACACACACATATATATATACGTATATATACATGTATATACATATATACGTATATATATATGTATATATATGTATATATATGTATATATATGTATATATATATGTGTATATATGTATATATATGTATATATATGTATATATATGTATATATATATACTGAATATTAGGTTTCTCTAACTAAATGGCAGTCATCAGCATCACTATCATCATCAGAACAGGCTTATTTGAACTACCAATTATCCAAAGGAGTTACTAAAGGGAAATTTGGTTGATAATTGGTACAGAAGATGTATGGCATATAATGAGTACACTCTTGAATAACATGGTGTATTTTGGCTGCTGTGCAGTATAACTATAGACATAAAAATGTTACTATGATTTTATATTATCAGTGTTCAAATGCATATAATGCCATAATATATGGGCAAATCCAGTAACGTTTTTTAACACAGTCACTGTATGATGTTTTGGGATATAGCCATGATGACAGTGAAAAATTATGGCTAAAGCATCAATTATTTGATAAACCCATACGTTGTTAACATGCACGTACACATATCCCTACAAAGACAATAACAGATGATTCTGAAGGAGAGAAGAAAGAGTAGATTGGTTTAAATATATATAAATGTACATACATACCTATATATGCATAATTTTATGTTTGTGGTTGTAGAATATTACAAAAAATAATAGTGAAACATTTTACTTAAGAACGACAATAATTTTCTTCATTAGAAGATATTTTAAATGTGCCTACATGGAATTTGCAAACTTAATGACTGCTAAATTTTTCAAATTAGCAAATCTTTCAAATATTAGATTTTTCAAATCTAATAGTAATAATAACATTAGGTATTTCAAATTGTAGTAGTGATAACATTAGGCTTAACCATAAAAGTCATTAAACTAAAATGGATTAATATCTATATCATGTTATGAAGAGGAAGGCTTTGGAGGCATAACTTTTGAGGCAGAAGCCATAAAGGTAAAGACTGATGGATTTGGCTCTTAGCAGTCAACCACACCTGTACGTAAAACACACTATAAAACAAAAACTAAAAGACAACAACAGATAAAACATTTACAATATAGACTGTTGAAGAGTTAATAATTTTAATATATAAAGAGTTATTGCCAATCAATAAGAAACTGTCAAATGAAAATGGGCAGTTTAATCAATTTATTTTTAAAAAGATATAAATTTGAAACTTATTTACCTCACTTATATTAAAATTCAAATTGAAATGAGAGAGCTTCCTTTTATCTATAATATTGACAAGAATAAAAAAAATCATTATGGCCAGAGTCAATGAAGTTGTGTGGAAAAAGTCACACACCGCAGTTGATAGGGTTTATTGTTAAATTTGGGGGAGGATAATTTGTCAATATGCCTCAAAAGCCATATAAATGTGCATATCCTTTAGCTTTGTACTTATTCTTTTATAAATATACTTGCTGTAACTGTACAAAAATGAATGACAAAGTTATTCACAGTAACTTTTTTTGTATCAAGAGAAGATGGAATAAACCTTAAATCTTAAATAGATATACATTTTAAAAATTATGGCATCTTCATTAGGAGACTGAACTGTAGCTATTTTGTATATTAATGGGCTTAAGAAGAGGTATACAATATATAAATTAGTGAAAAATCAAACTACAAAATTTTATATGCCATAATCACACACACATTGTAAGGTTGGAAATGGTATTATAAAGAGAGGTGATTTTCTTATTTGAATTTTCTAACTTTGCTATAATGAATTCTAAATGTTATTATAAGTATTTAAAGTTTTTTGAAGATAAAAATGTGTATTAATAAAGCATTGTGCTAAGAAAATCCATAACTAGGGTCAGCATATTATATTATTCAGCATGGATCCTGATTAATTCAGATAACTTTGTAAAATTTAGATGCCAATTTATAAAATGCATGGACATTCTCAATTGCAGCGTTATTTCAATAAAATGTATTGTTTTCTCTTATTAGAAAAACAATATAATCTCTTTGTAGATAATGTTTAAAACATGTGAAGGGAGTAATAAAATGAATTTTGCCAATAATTTTACCATCAATATATGATCACCAATAACCTTTGATTTATGCCCTTTTCACCCTGTTTCTAGTTGTTCTTGAGATAAGATACAAACATGGATCTAAAAAGATTTTACAAAATTAGAATCATATTATACATATTTTAAAGATAGCATAGAGTTGGGACTTGATTTTTTATCCACTTTGACAATCTGTGCCTTTCCATTGGTGTATTTAGACCATTCCTATATAAAGTTATTATAAATATAGTTGGTCTAATATTACCATATTTGTAAATATATTCAATTTGATGCCTTTTTTCTTTGTTTCTCATTTTGTCTTTTACTCTTCTGTTTTCTCTGGTTTTAATTGAGCATGTTATATGATTCTAATGTTTCCTTACTTAGAATTTCAACTCATTTTTAAAATTTTAAGTGGGTGCCCTGGAGTTTGCAGTATACATTTACAACTAATCAAAGTCAAATAACACTGTACATTTCATGGGTAGTGAAAGTATAACAGGATACTCCCAATTCCTTTCTCCCATCCCTTATGATAATGTTATCATTTCTTTCATTTATTCATAAAAAATATTCACTGAATACATTGTTGCTGTTATTATTTTTAATAAACTATATGTTAAATCAATTCAAATTTTAAGATAAAATGTCTTATTTTACTTTTATTTATTTCTTCTCTAACAATCTTATTTTCTTACGTAGATCAGAGTTTATGGTCTATATGATTTTCTTTCTCTCCAAACAACTTGCAACACTTCTAGCAAGGTATGCCTATTGATGACTAATTTTCTCAATTTTTTGTTTGTCTGAGAAAGCCTTTATCCCTCCTTCACTTTTGAAGAATAATTTCACTGGACACAGAGTTTTAAGTTGATAGTTCTTTTCTTTCAACACTTCTAATACTTTAACACATTCTCCTTTGGCTTGCCTGATTTCTGTAGAGTCTTTTAATGTAATTCTTATGCTTATTTGTCTATAAGTAAGGTGTTTTTTCCCTATGTCGTCATTCAAAATTTTTTCTTTGTCTTTGATTTTCTGCAGTTTAATATTATGTACCTAGGTGTAGATTTTTTTTGGTATTTATCCTGCTTGGTGTTCTCTTAGCTTCCTGTATCTGTAGTTTGATGTCTGTCATTAATTTTGGAAAATTCTGTCATTATTGCTTCAAATATTTCTTCTGTTCGTTTCTTTCCTTTTTTTCTAATGGTATTACCATTTTGCATATGTTACACCTTTCGTAATTGTCTCACTGTTCTTAGATTTTCTGCTCCACCTTTTATTTTTTACTATTTTTCTCTTTACATTTTAGTTTTGAAAATTTCTATATTCAGATCTTTACATTCACCAATTATTTCCTTGCCCATGTTTAAGCTACTGATGAACCCATTGAAGACATTCTTCATTTTTTTTTATAGTGTTGTTGATTTCTAGAATTTATTTTTGGTTCTTTCTTATGGTTTCCATCTCTCTGTTCACATTACTCATGTGTTTTTCATGTTGTCCACATTTCCCATTAATTTCCCATTAATTATGATTAACATTAATCAAAATTATGTTTAATTCAGTTCATAATTCCAAATTTTCTGTCATAGCTTAGTTTAATTCTGATACCTATGTTGCCTCTTTATTCTGTATTTTTGCCTTCTAACATGCCTTGCAGTTTTTTGTTGAAATCCAGTTATAATATATTGAGTAACACGAACAATAATGTGAAATATTATGTTTATCTGACTGAGACCTAGTCTGTGTTTATTATTTGCTGTAGCTGTAGTGTCAAATACTCAATTTTTCTCTCATGTCCTTGTTTTTGTCTTCCTGTTGAGTTTCTTTAGAGACTCTTTTTTTAAATAGGGTCTGAATGTTGCAATCCTTAAATTGTAATCTAATTATTGATGTGGCAGTAAGGTGTGAGGGACAGGAAGGATTCTATGATTAGATCTCAATCTTTCAGAAGCATGTGTCCCTAGGCTGTGACTTTCACAAGTGCTTCTTAGATTTTTCTCCCATAGGTAAGACAGTGTGGCTGGGCCACTGGAGTTGTGTATTTCTCTTCCCTTGTGCCATTTAGACTCTAGTAAAAACCATGTAACTTAGTCTCTGGTAAATAGTGTTTTATTTTGAGAATGACCCATGTTTAAGGAGAACCGAATGCTCTGGCTGTCTTACAAAATGCTTACTTTTCCCCTCCCCATGGAGTATCACAAGAGGATTTCTCTCCAACATTCACCCTTAGAACCTGGTAGGTTTTCTGGAGGTAAAAATTACAAAATTGTGGGTGCCATGTTAAAACTTTCCCCTCAAGATTCTTACTTCTCAAGCCAGATCACCTTGCGCCCTCAGCAACTCATCAATTAGAGATCAAGTGTTCCTAACAGTACTGGCTCCAGTGGCAGGCTTCTGATCCTGGTAAGCTACAACTTTCAGCACTGACGTTTCTCTCCAGTTTTGGGGACATTGTTTGCCCTCTACCTCAATTCTCTGATGGATCTAATAAGAGTTGTTTGTTTTCAGTTCAGTCATTTTTTTGGTTCAAGGATGGCAATGATGACCTGTAACCTCTTTATATGTCAGACCAACATGCAGAAGTATCTTGTAAATACTATTTTGAAACCTCTTTTATTCATATAATAATGTATACTACCACTTTTGGGGATCTATAACATGTTTTCTAATGAATACATTGTATTCTGTGTAGGTGCATTAATTTAACTAATCTCATATTGTTAGACATTTAAGTTATGCAAAATACTATTATGTTATATATATACATCTACAGAAAAATTCTTAGAAGAATTACTGGGCTCACGTTTATTGGCATTATTTATATTCATTCAAGATAAAGCACACATGACTTGAAAGTCACCATTTTAACAAATTTAAAGCATACAGTTCAGTGAGTTTTAGTGTATTCACAATGTTGTGCAACCATTACCACTAATTCCATAAAATTTTTATTACCTCCCTTAAAAAGCCCCATACTTTTTAACAGTCACTCCCAATTTCCCTTCCTCTCAACCTCTGGCAACCACCAATCTCCTTTCTATTTCTATGGATTTGCCTATTCTGAATATTTCATATAAATGCAATAATAAAATATTTATTTTGTATAATGTTTTCAATGTCCATCCAAGTTGTAACATATATTACTTTTGTTGTACTTTTTGATTGCTAAATATTATATTATTTTTTGGATACACAGTTTTTCACCCACTCATCAATTGATGAACATTGTATTGTTTCCATATTTTGACTTTATGGATAATGTCACACAATCATTTGTGTACAACTTTTTGTTCTGAACACTTTTTTTCCATTTTTTGCTATATATGTAGGAGTGAAATTACTGGATGATATGGTAACGCTATGCTTAACAGTTTGAGACATCAATAAACTGCTTTCCACGATATCTGCACCATTTTTATTTGCATAAATTTAAATGGTACAAGTGCCATTTTGTTACATAGCTATATTGTTTAGTGGTGAAATCTGAGCTATTAGTGTTTCATCACCTGAATAAAGACATTGTACCCATTAAGTAATTTCTCATCATCTCCCTCCCTCCCACTCTCCCACCCTTCCAAATCTTCGGTGTTTATCATTCCACGCTATGTCCACATGTTCACATTATTTCACTCCCATTTATGAGTGGGAATATGGGGTATTTTTCCTTCTGTTTCTGAGTTGTTTCACTTAAGATAATGTCTTCCAGTTCCATCCATATTGCTACAAAATACATTATTTCATTATTTTTAAGGTTGAATCATATTCCATTGTGTATATATGCTACATTTTCTTTATTGAATCATCATTGATAGACACTTAGGTTGATTCCTAAGTGCCTATTGTGAATACTACAGTGATAAACATACAAATGCAGGTATCTTTTTGATATAATGATTTATTTTCCTTTGGGTAGATACCTAGTAGTGGGATTGCTTGATCAGATGGTAATTCTATTTTTAGTTTTCCACAGAGGTTGTACTAATTTACTTGCCCATCAACAGTACATAAGCATTCCCTTTTCTCCGCATCCTTGCTAACATCTCTTATTTTTTGTCAGTTTAATAATAGTTATTCTGACCAGTGTGAGATGATATCTCATTGTGGTTTTAATTTACATTTCTCTGATAATTACTGATATTGATAATTTTTCATATGCCTGTGGACCATTATTTGAAAAAGTCTATTCATATCCTTTGCCAACTTTTTAATTTGGTAATTTGGTTTACCTTGTTGTTGTTGTTTGAGTTCCTTGTAAATTCTGGATATAAGTCTTCTGTCTGATGCGTAGTTTGAAAATATTTTCTCCCATTGTGCAGGTTTTCTTTTTCACTCTGTTGACTGTTTGATTATTTCTTTTGCTGTGCAGAAGTTTCTTTTTTTAATTAAATCCCATTTGTCTATTTTTATTTTACTTGCTTGAGCTATTAAGGTCTTAGTCATGAACGATTTGCCTAGACCAATGTCCAATGTCTATAAGAGATTTCCCTAGGTTTTCTTCTAGGATTTTTATAGTGTCAGGTCTTCCATTTAGATCTTTAATCCATCTTGAGTTAATGTTTGTATGTGTTGAGAGATCGGAGTCCAGTTTCTTTCTTCTGCATATGACAATCCGATTTTTCCATCACTGTTTATTGAAAAGGGCGTCCTTTCCCCCACATATGTTTCTGTTGACTTCATCAAAAATCAACTGGCTGTAGATCTCTGGTTTCTTTTCTGGGTTCTCTGTTCTGTTCCATTACCTATGTGTCTATTTTTATGCCATTTCCATGCTGTTTTGGTTATTGTAGTCGTGTAGTATAATTTGAAGTCAAGTAATGTGATGCTTCCAGCTCTGTTATTTTTCTTAAAATTGCTTGGGCCATTCGAGCTCTTTTTTTTGTTTAATATGAATTTTAGGGTTTGAGTACATTGAAGCTTTTTGATGTGCTGCTGGGCTTGATTTGCTAGTATTTTTTTTTTTTTTTTTGAGATGGAATCTCACCGTGTTGCCCAGGCTGGAGTGCAGTGGCATGATCTTGGCTCACTGCAAACTCTGTCTCCTGGGTTCAAGCAATTCTCCTGCCTCAGCCTCCCGAGTAGCTGGGATTACAGGTGCCTGCCACAACACCCAGCTAGTTTTTGTATCTTTAGCAGAAATGGGGTTTTGCCATATTAGCCAGGCTGGTCTCAAACTCCTGGCCTCAAGTGATCCACCCATCTGAGCCTCCCCAAGTGCTGATATTACAGGTGAGAGTTACCATGCCCAGCCTCTTTAAACCATTTTAAATAAATTTTTTTGCTGGCAATTTTTTTAAATTTCCATAGTTTTGGGGGTACAGGTAATTTTGGCTTATATGGATAAGATCTTCAGCGGTGATTTCTGAGATTTTGGTACACCCATCACCTGAGCAGAGTACACTGTACCCAGTATGTAGTATTTTATCTCTCACCCACATCCCAGCCTTCCCCCTGCATCCCCAAAGTGCATTATATCATTCTTATGCTTTTGTACACTCATAGCTTAGCTCCCACTTATAAATGAGAACATACGATATTTGATTTTCCATTCCTGAGTTACTTCACTTGGAATAATGGCCTCCAGTTCTATCCAAGTTGCTGCAACGGCCAATATTTTATTCCAGTTTATGGCTGAGTAGAATTCCATGGGGTATATATACCACATTTTCTTTATCCACTCATTGGTTGATAGGCATTTAGGTTGTTCCCATATTTTTTCAGTTGCAAATTGTGTGTGCATATGTCTTCTTATAAAATGACTTATTTTCCTTTGGTTAGATACCCAGTAGGTGGATCACTGGATCAAATGGTAGCTCTGCTTTTAGTTCTTTAAGGAATTTTCATACTGTTTTCCACAGTGGTTGTACCAGTTTACATCCCCACCAGCTGTGTGAAAGTGTTCCCTTTTCACCACATCCACATCATCATCTATTATTTTTTGACTTTTTAATTATGGCCATTCTTTAAAAAGTAGGTTGGTATCTCATTGTGGTTTTAATTTGCAATTTCCCTGATAATTAGTGATTTTGAGCCTTTTTTTATATGTTTGTTGGCTGTTTGTATATCTTCTTTTGTCTTTGCCCACTTTTTGGTGGGATTATTTGTTTTTTTCTTGCTGATTGGTTCGAGCTCCTTGTAGATTCTGGATATTAGTCCTTTGTCAAATGGATAGTTTGTGAATATTTTCTCCCCCTCTGTGGGCTATCCATTTACTCTGTTGATTATTTCTTTCGCTGTGCAGAAGCCTTTTGTTTTAATTAGATGCCATTTATTTATTTATTTGTTTGTTTATTTTGCATTTGCTTTTAGGTTCTTAGTCATGAATTCTTCGCCTAAGTCAATGTCTAGAAGAGTGTTTCTGATGTTATCTTCTAAAATTGTTATGGTTTAAGGATTTAGATTTAAGTCTTTCATCCATCTTGATTTTATTTTTGTATAAAGTGAGAGATGAGGATCTAGTTTCTTTCTTCTACATGTGGGTTGCAAGTTTTTCCAGAACCATTTACTGAATAGGGTGTTTTCTCCCCCACTTTATGTTTTTGTTTTCTTTGTTGAAGATCAGTTGGCTGTAAGTATTTAGTTTTATTTCTGGGTTCCCTATTCTGTTCCATTGGGCTGCATGTCTATTTTTATATGAGTACCAAGCTGTTTTGGTAAGTACAGCCTTGTAGTATAATTTGAAGTTGGGTAATGTGATGCCTTCAGTTGTGTTCTTTTTGCTTAGTCTTGTTTTGGATATGTGGGCTCTTTCTTGGGTCCATATGAATTGTTGGATTGTTTTTTCTAGTTCTGTGAAGAATGATGATGCTATTTTGGTGGGACTTGCATCGAGTCTGTAGATTGCTTTGAGCAGTATGATTATTTTCACAGTATTGATTCTACCATCCATGAGCATGGGATGTGTTTCCATTTCTTTGTGTAATCTATGATTTCTTCAACAGTGTTTTGTAGTTTTTCTTTTAGAGATCTTTCACCTGTTTGGGCAAGTATATTCCTAATTATTTTATTTATTTATTTATTTTTGCAGCTGTTGTAAGGGATTATGGTCTTAATTTGATTCTCAACTTGGTCGTTGTTGGTATATAGCGGTGCTACAGATTTGTGTGCATTGATTTTGTATCCTGAGACTTTACTCAATTTATTTACCAGGTTTAGGAGCTTTTCAGATGAGTCTTCAGGGTTTTCTAGTTATAAGATCATATCACTGGCAAACAATGACAGTTTGACTTACTTTTTCCAATTTGGATGCCCCTTATTTCTTTCTCTTACCTAATTTCTCTGGCTAGGACTTTCAGTACTATGTAGAATAGAAGTGGAGAAAGTGGGCATCCTTGTGTTGTTCCAGTTCTCAGCGGGGATGTTTTCAACTGTTCCCCATTCTGTGTGATGTTGGCTGTGGGTTTGTCAAAGATGGCTTTTATTACTTTGAGGTATGTCCTTTCTATGCCAATCATAAATGGAATCTGGATTTTATCAAATGCTTTTTCTGGATGTATTAAGATGATCATATGATATTTTAAAATTCTGTTTAAGTGATGTATCACATTTATTGACTTGCATATGTTAAACTATCCCTGCATCCCTGGTATGAAACCTACTTGATTATGATATATTATCTTTTTGATTTGCTGTTGGATTTGGTTAGCTAGTATTTTGTTGAGGATTTTTGCATCTATGTTCATCAGGGATATTGGTCTGCAGTTTTCTTTTTTTATTATGTCCTTTCCTGATTTTGATATTACGGTGATACTGGGTTCACAGAATGATTGAAGAAGGATTCCCTTTTTCTCTATGGGTGGTGTGAAGTGAGGGTCCAAGTTCATTCTTTTGTGTGTGGATATCTGTTTGTCTCAGCACCATTTGTTGTAAACACTACATTTTACCCACTGAATGATTTTGGCACCCCTTTCAAAATCAGTTAACCAAAGCATATGAATTTATTTCTAGACTTTTAATTCCATTTCAGTGTGCCTGTACTACATTGTTTTGATTACTGTAACTTTGCAATAAGTTTTCAGAACTGCACATGTGAATCCTCAAACTTGATTCTTCTTTTTCAAGATCGTTTTGGCTATTTAATATTTGGACATTCAGCAGTACCTTGCTTTGACATATGAGTATTAGAATAAATGTGTCCATTTATTTAAAGAAAGAGCATTGAAATTTTGATAGAGATCATTTTGGACCTATAGATTAATTTGGCAAGTATTGCCATCTTAACATCTTTAAGTTTTCAGATCCAAAAAATCAGACACCTTCACGCTTCCCATTAACTTAGGTATTCTTTAATTTTTTACAAAATTCTACAGGTATTCTACAATGTTTTATACAAGCATTGGGCTTCTTTAGTTAAATTTATTTAAGTATCTGGCTGGGCGCAGTGGCTCACACCTTTAATCGCAGCATTTTGGGAGGCCAAGGCGGGTGTATCACCTGAGGTCAGGAGTTTGAGACTAGCCTGGCCAGCATGCCAAAACCCCATCTCTACTAAAAAATACAAAAATTAGCAGGACGTGGTGGCAGTTGCCTGTAATCCCAGCTACTCAGGAGGCTGAGGCAGGAGAATCACTTGAACCCCAGAGGCAGAGGTTGCAGTGAGCCAAGACTGTGCCATTGCACTCCAGCCTGGGCGACAGAGCAAGACTCTGTCTCAAAAAAAATAGATAAATAAAAATAAATTTATTTAATTATCTTATTATTTTCATGCTCTTGTAAATGCATTTGTTTTCAAATTGTTTATTTCTAGTGTATAGAATTACAACTAATATTTATATTGATCTTGTAGCTGCAACTTTCATGAACTCATCTAGTAGCTCTAACAGATTTTTTTCTTCATGAATTCCTTACATTATTTCATTTATAAGATTATGATATTTATGGATAAAAATAGATTTACTTCTTTTACAATCTATATGGTTTTATTTATTTTTCATGTCTAATGCCCTGGCTAGAACTACCAGTGCAATGTTGAATAGAAGTGGCATGAATGAACATTTTTATCTAGTTACTTATTTTAGAGGCAAAACTTTCAATCTTTCACCATCAAGTATTTTTTTTGTGTGTGGGTTTTTCAGAAATGTCTTTAAACAGTTGAAGGAGCTTCCTTCAATTAGTAGGGGTTTTTTGAGACATTTTTTAATGTGGAAGATTGTTGAATGTTTTCAAATATTTTTTCTGCATCTATTATGATAATGTGATTTTTTTGTTTTATTAACACGTTATATTACTTTCATTGACTTTTATATGTCAAACCACTCTTTTATTTTTGGAACAAATCCCACTTAGTCTTGGTGCATCATCCTTTTAATATACTCCTGGATGCAGCTTACTAGTATTTTGTTGAGAATTTTAAAAATATATTTATAAGAAATATTGTTCTATAGTTTCCTTTCTTGTAAGGCCTTTGTCTGGCTTTGGTATTATTCTACTATAGTAGTGGAACACTTTAGTACACTAGTTTCAGTGATGGATGGAAAAATCAAACACAAAATCAATAAGGAGATAGAGAACTTAAACAACACTATAAATCAACTATACTTATCAGATGTATATATAACACTCCATCTAATGATAGCAAAATACACATTCTTCTCAAGTGCATATGGGACATTCTCCAGGATAGACCACATGTTTGCCCAAAAAACAAATTCTAACAAACACATTCTAAACAAAAAAATTCTAAATTTAAAAAGAATGAAATTGCAGTGGCTGACTCCTAAATCCCAGCACTTTGGGAGGCCAAGGCAGGAGGTTTGATTGAGGCCAGGAGTTCAAGACCAGCCTGGACAACATAGTGAGACCCTGTCTCTACAAGATTTTTTTAAAACTTAGTTGGGCATGTTGGTGTCTTCCCATAGTCCTAGCTACTCAGGAGGCTGAGGCAAGCAGGTAACTTTAGCCCAGGAGTTTGAGGCTACAGTGAGGTATGCTCATACCACTGCACTCCAGCCTGGGCCACAGAGTAAGATTGTGTCTCAAAGAAAATTTTTTAAGAATAAAATTGTACAAAGTGCCTTCTCAACAAGAATAGAATGCATCCAGAAATAAATAACAGAAGGGAAACTGGAAAATGTACACATTTGTGGAAATTAAACGAGACATACATAAAGGACCAATGGGACAAGAAAAATCACAATGGGAATTGAAAAACATTTATTTATTTATTTATTTTTTATTATTATACTTTACGTTCTAGGGTACATGTGCACAATGTGCAGGTTTGTTACATATGTGTGCATGTGCCATGTTGGTGTGCTGCACCCATTAACTCATCATTTACATTATGTATATCTCCTAATGCTATCCCTCCCCCCTCCCTCCACCCCACAACAGGCCCTGGTGTGTGATGTTCCCCTTCCTGTGTCCAAGTGTTCTCATTGTTCAATTCCCACCTATGAGTGAGAACATGCAGTGTTTGGTTTTCTGTCCTTGCAATAGTTTGCTCATAATGATGGTTTCCAGCTTCATCCATGTCCCTACAAAGGACATGAACTCTTCATTTTTTATGGCTGCATAGTATTCCATGGTGTATATGTGCCACATTTTCTTAATCCAGTCTATCATTGATGGACTTTTGGGTTGGTTCCAAGTCTTTGCTATTGTGAAGAGTGCCACAATAAACATACGTGTGCATGTGTCTTTATAGCAGCATGATTTATAATCCTTTGGGTATATACCCAGTAATGGGATGGCTGGGTCAAATGGTATTTCTAGTTCTAGATCCCTGAGGAATCGCCACACCGACTTCCACAATGGTTGAACTAGTTTACAGTCCCACCAATAGTGTAAAAGTGTTCCTATTTCTCCACATCCTCTCCAGCACCTGTTGTTCCCTGACTTTTTAATGATTGCCATTCTAACTGGTGTGAGATGGTATCTCATTGTGGTTTTGATTTGCATTTCTCTGATGGCCAGTGATGATGAGCATTTTTTCATGTGTCTTTTGGCTGCATACATGTCTTCTTTTGAGAAGTGTCTGTTCATATCATTTGCTCACTTGTAGACTGGGTTGTTTGTTTTTTTCTTGTAAATTTGTTTGAGTTCATTGTAGATTCTGGATATTAGCCCTTTGTCAGATGAGTAGATTGCAAAAATTTTCTCCCATTCTGTAGGTTGCCTCTTCACTCTCATGGTAGTTTCTTTTGCTGTGCAGAAGCTCTTTAGTTTAATCAGATCCCATTTGTCAATTTTGGCTTTTGTTGACATTGCTTTTGGTGTTTTAGACATGAAGTCCTTGCACATTCCTATGTCCTGAATGGTATTGCCTAGGTTTTCTTCTAGGGTTTTTATGGTTTTAGGTCTAACATTTAAGTCTTCAATCCACCTTGAATTAATTTGTGTATAAGGTGTAAGGAAGGGATCCAGTTTCAGATTTCCACATATGGCTAGCCAGTTTTCCCAGCACCATTTATGACATACGGAATCCTTTCCCCATTTCTTGTTTTTCTCAGGTTTGTCAAAGATCAGATAGTTGTAGATATGTGGCATTATTTCTGAGGGCTCTGTTCTGTTCCATTGGTCTATAGCTCTGTTTTGGTACCAGTACCATGCTGTTTTGGTTACTGTAGCCTTGCAGTATAGTTTGAAGTCAGGTAGCATGATGCCCCCAGCTTTGTTCTTTTGGCTTAGGATTGACTTGGCAATGTGGACTCTTTTTTGATTCCATATGAACTTTAAAGTAGTTTTTTCCAATTCGGTGAAGAAAGTCATTGGTAGCTTGATGGGGATGGCATTGAATCTATAAATTACCTTGGGCAGTACGGCCATTTTCACGATATTGATTCTTCCTATCCATGAGCATGGAATGTTCTTCCATTTGTCTGAATCCAGGAGCTGGTTTTTTGAAAGGATCAACAAAATTGATAGACCACTAGCAAGACTAATAAAGAAGAAAAGAGAGAAGAATCAAATAGACGCAGTAAAAAATGATAAACAGGATATCACCACCGATCCCACAGAAATACAAACTACCATCAGAGAATACTATGAACACCTCCATGCAAATAAACTGGAAAATCTAGAGGAAATGGATCAATTCCTTGGCAAATACACCCTCCCAAGACTAAACCAGGAAGAAGTTGAATCTCTTAATAGACCAATAATGGCTCTGAAATTGAGGCAATAATTAATAGCTTACCAATCAAAAAAAAGTCCAGGACCAGATGGATTCACAGCCGAACTCTACAAGAGGTACAAGGAGGAGCTGGTACCATTCCTTCTGAAACTATTTCAATCAATAGAAAAAGAGGGAATCCTCCCTAACTCATTTTATGAGGCCAGCATCATCCTGATACCAAAGCCTGGCAGAGTCACAACGAAAAAAGAGAATTTTAGACCAATATCCCTGATGAACATTGATGCAAAAATCCTCAATAAAATACTGGCAAACCAAATCCAGCAGCACATCAAAAAGCTTATCCACCATGATCAAGTGGGCTTCATCCCTGGGATGCAAGGCTGGTTCAACATGCACAAATCAGTAAACGTAATCCAGCATGTAAACAGAACCAAAGACAAAAACCACATGATTATCTCAATAGATGCAGAAAAGGCCTTTGACAAAATTCAACAGCCCTTCATGCTAAAAACTCTCAACAAATTAGGTATTGATGGGAAGTATCTCAAAATAATAAGAGCTATCTATGACAAACCCACAGCCAATGTCATACTGAATGGGCAAAAACTGGAAGAATTCCCTTTGAAAACTGGCACAAGACAGGGATGCCCTCTCTCACCACTCCTATTCAACATAGTGTTGGAAGTTCCGGCCAGGGCAATCAGGCAGGAGAAAGAAATAAAGTGTATTCAATTAGGAAAAGAGGAAGTCAAATTGTCCCTATTTGCAGATGACATGATTGTATATTTAGAAAACCCCATCGTCTCAGCCCGAAATCTCCTTAAGCTGATAAGCAACTTCAGCAAAGTCTCAGGATACAAAATCAATGTGCAAAAATCACAAACATTCTTATACACCAATAACAGACAGAGAACCAAATCATGAGTGAACTCCCATTCACAATTGCTGCAAAGAGAATAAAATACCTAGGAATCCAACTTACAAGGGATGTGAAGGACCTCTTCAAGGAGAACTACAAACCACTGCTCAACGAAATAAAAGAGAAAAATATTTAAAGATAAATGGAAACAAAAACACAACATCCCATAACTTATGGAGTGCAGTGAAAATAGTCCTCAGCGGGAAATATATAGCTGTACACTTAGAACAACTAGAACAAAAATGAGCAAACTAAACTGAAAGTTAGCAGAGGGAAGGAAATAAAAAGTTAGGGTAGAGATTGTAAAAGAAATAATAGAAAAACAAGAAAGAGAATAAGTGAAATCAAAGTTGGTTCTTTAAAAAACCAACAAAATTGACAAGCCTTTAGTTGGACTGACAGAAATGAAAGTGAGGAAACAAATAACTAAGTTCTTAATCATAAATGAGTACATTACTACCAACCTTACAGTAACGAAAAGCATCATGAGTATTCTATAAACAATTGTATACCAACAAATTAGATAATTCAGATGAAACAGAGAAATTCTTAGAAGCACAAAAATTACTTAAAGTGATTTCAGAAAAATTAAAAAATATCAACGGTGCTCTACTATGTAGAGAAATTAAGCCAGTAACCAAAATCTCTTAATTAAGTAAAGCCCAGGACCAGAAGGTCTCAATGTTGCATTCTATCAAACATTTTAAAAGAATACTTCTAAAACTCTTCCAAGATATTACCTAACCCATTCTAGGAGACGAGCATTACCCTGACACCAAAGATAGATAAAGCCTTCACAAGAAAAGATAATTGCACACCAATATCCTTTAGTAATATATATACATGCAAAAAGCCTCAGTAAAATACTAGCAAACAGATTTCAATAGCATATTTAAAGAATTAGAAACCAAGGCAAAGTGGGGTTCATTCCAGACATGCAAGCACTGGTAAGAAAATCAATGAAATTTTTTTTTTTTTTGAGACGGAGTCTCGCTCTGTCGCCCAGGCTGGAGTGCTGTGGCGCGATCTCGGCTCACTGCAACCTCCGCCTCCCGGGTTCAAGCCATTCTCCTGCCTCAGCCTCCTGAGTAGCTGGGACTACAGGCCCCTGCCACCACGCCCGGCTAATTTTTTTTATTTTTAGTAGAGACAGCATTTCACCATGTTAGCCAGGATGGTCTCAATCTCCTGACCTTGTGATCTGCCCGCCTCAGCCTCCCAAAGTGCTGGGATTACAGGCATGAGCCACTGCACCCAGCCCCAATGAAATATTTTTAATCATAAGAAAATCAATGTAATATTACACATAATATATCAATGAGAAAAAAAAGATTAACTCAATTGATGAAGAAAAGGCATTTATTTGACAAAGTGCAACACCTTTTCATATTATAAATACCCAGAACACTAGGAATGAAAGTATACTTCTTCAACATATTAAAGAGCATTTATGAAAAACACACAGCTATCATCATACTCAATGGGGAAGAAAAGGAAACAATTCCCTTCCAAAATCAGGAACAAGACAGGAATGCTCACTTTAACTACTGTTACTCAGCATTGCACTGTAAGTTCTAGCCAGATACATTAGACAAGAAAAAGAAATAAAAGCCATCCAACCTGAAAAGAAAGAAGTAAAACTATCTCCAGTTGCTGAAGACAAGATCTTATATACGGAAAAATACCAAAGCATTCACAAGAGAATTACTAAAGCTAATTAACAAATTCAGCCAAATTTTAGGGTGTAAATCACTTGTGTTTCTAAACACCAGTAATGCACAATCCAAAAGGAATATGAAAAAGCAATTTCATTTATAATAACCTCTAAAACATAAAAATACCTAGATATACATTTAAGCAAGAAGGTGAAAGATGGTACAATGAAAACTAGAAAACACTGCTGAACTAAATTCAACAAGACCTAAATATATGGAAAAAAGCACAAATTCACAGTAGAAATACTTAATTTTGTTGAGATGTTAACACTACTCAAACAATTTCTAGATTCAACACAATCCCTATCAAAGTTTCACCAATAGTTTTTTTGCAAATCTAGACAATCTAATTCTCCAATTTATGTGTAATTACAAGGAGCCCCAAATAACCAAAACAATAAAGAAGAACAATGTTGCATGATTCCCTCATTTAAATTTCAAAACTTACTACAAAGTTGTATTAATAAAAACAGTGTAGACCTGGCAAAATAATAGGCATATAGACCAACAGAATATAACTGAAAGTCATGTAATAAATGTATGAATCTATGTCCAATTGACAATTTTTTTTTGTAGATATAGGGTCTCATTCTGTGGCCTTGGCTGTGGTGCAGTAGTACAATCATAGGTCACCAAAGTCTCAAACTCCTAAGATCAAGTGATCCACCTATCTCAGCCTTCTGAGTAGCTGGGATTTCCACATGCAAAGGAATGAAGTTGGACCCCTACCTCACACGATATACAAAAATTATCTCAAAATGTATAATAAAGGCATAAACATAAGAGCTAAAATCATAAAATTCCTGTAAGAAAACTTAGGAGTAAGATATTTATGACCTTAGATTTGGCAATGGATTTTTCAGCATGACACCATATTGGTTTGCTAGGGCAATTGTAACACAGTACCACAGATTGGGTGGCTTAAATAATATAAATTTATTTTTCACAATTCTTCAGAATAGAAGTCTGAAATCAAAGTGTCATCAGGGTTGGTTTCTTCTGAGGCCTCTCTCCTTGGCTTGTAAATGAGTGTCTTCTCCCTGTGTCTTCACATGGTATTTTGACTGAGTGTGTCCAGATCATAATCTCCTCTTCTTATAAGGACACCAGTTTTACTGGATTAGGTCCCAACCTAATGACCTCATTTTACCTTAATTACCTTGTTAAAGAACCTATCTTCAAAAAGAGTCATATTCTGAGGTAATAGGTGTTGGGACTGCAACATATGATTTGGTGGAGGAGATGTGGAATTTTAGCCAATAACAGACAACAAAAGCATATAAACAGGAGAAAATAGAAATGTGACTTTATCAAAAGTAAGCACTTTTGTGTATAAAGGGACATTATCAAGAAGGTAAAAAGACTGTTCACAGAATGAGAGAAAATATTTGCAAATCATATAGCTGATTATGGTTTAATATCCTGAATATACAGAGATCTGCTGCAATTCAACAACAAAAGACAAATGTTTCAGTTACAAAATGGGCAAAATACATAGATGGACATTTCTTCCAAAAATATATACAAATGACTGATAGGAACATGAAATGATGCTCAACATCAGTCACTAAGAAACTGCAAATCAAAACCACAGTGACATACTACTTCACACCAGTAGGATAGCTATAATTATAAACAACAGAAAATAACAAATGTTGGCAAGGATGTATAGAAATTATTACCCTTGTATGTTGCTTACTGGAATGTAAAATGGTGCAGTCACACTGGAAAGTGGTTTGGAGTTTCTTCAGACAGCTAAACATAGACTTACAATATGACCTACCAATTCTATTCTTATCTGTATACTCAAAAGAAATGAAACTAGAGACTCAAAGACAGACTTGTTTGACAATATTCATCGCCACATTATTCACAGTACCCAAAATACGGAAACAACCCAAGTGTTCATCAACAGATGAATAGATGAACAACATATGGTATATTCATGCAAATAAAAATTATTCAACCATTAAAAATAATGAATTACTGATGCATGCTACCACATGAATAAACCTTGGGAACATTATGCTAGGTAAAATAAAACAAACACTAGTGGCCATATTTAGTTTGATCCCATTTATACAAAATGTCCAGAATAGGCAAATCCATAGAGTGAAAACAGACATTGAGTTCCTACAAAACTGATGGGTTTTCTTTGCTAGTGGAAGAGATCTCACAGCCTCCAATGGAAGCAGACTCCCCACTCAGTGGCAGTAATATCCCCAAATCTCTCCATTCCCAGTAGTATAAGATTTTACACCCATCTCGGTTTGAGGAAATTAACTCTGCATTGACTGAGAAAACTGTAATGGGCTTCACTGAGGCAATTTTCATGCAAGACAATGCTGCTTCCTTTCAGGATCCACCCCACTACATTTTTTGCTTCTAGATCTATAACTAGACTCAAGTACCAGCGGGTCCCTAAAGGTGAGGTATATAGTATGACCAGTGAAGAGGTGTGCCACACTCCAAAATAACTACTTGAATTTTTCTAATTTATACATACAGAAATCTGGGGAATATGTGTGGGAGTAAATTCTAAGGGTATGAAATAATGAAAGGAACACTAAGTTGAATCAGGCTGAATTTATTGGTATGGGATCATTAAGCTGAGATTCTGGATTTAATGTTGTAGCTAGGAGAGTTAGAAAGTGCTCTAACAGTTTGCTCGATCAGGTGAAACATGGACCCAAAGGTGCCCACAATGAGTGATTAGGAAATGCTAGCCCTGACTTCCTTTAATGAAAGGAAATCAAAGGCTTATGGAGATTGAAATGTTACAGTGTATTTGTCATTAAGACCTACTCATCCACAATAGGAGGGTCCAGAAGACATAAGTTTCACCAATACTTCAAGAAATAAGTTGATAAGGGGGACCCAGCATCCTTAAAGAGCTGCATGATTGCTTTTCTCTGTAGGCAGCAGTTTCCATTGTTACAAAAATGGAAACTGCTGCCACTTAATTGGAAACCCTAAATGCAATGGGATTAATTGGATTTTGGAGTGGCAGCACTCAACTGCCAAAAATAGGCGGGCATGGTTACTATAAAAGACAGCAGAGTCAAAACAACGATTATGAATAGACTCATACAGAACTATGGCATTGGCTCATTGATTATGGGATTTATAGAAGTGAAATAAATATGAAGGCTACTAAATTCTTATTTGAGCCATATAAACAAGAAAACTCTAAGTCAATTAAATAAAAGACTAACCTAAATCATGAAAAATGGAAATGTATCATCTCTCAATCGATTCTCAGACTTGAGCCAGTTTACAGACCCAAAGCTCTTGAATAAAGGAGAGGTCAGGAGATCACACGGACACAGGAAGGGGAACATCACACTCTGGGGACTGTTGTGGGGTGGGGGGAGTGGGGAGGGATAGCATTGGGAGATATACCTAATGCTAGATGACGAGTTAGTGGGTGCAGCGCACCAGCATGGCTCATGTATACATATGTAACTAACCTGCACAATGTGCACATGTACCCTAAAACTTAAAGTATAATAAAAATAAAAATAAAATAAAATAAAATAAAATAAAAAATAAATAAAGGAGAGGTCAGGTCCCTGTGAGGAAGGACTCAAGTATCTAACCACAAATTTTTGCTGTTAATTTTTCTCTCAGACAAACCCAATGGGGCCTACAGGCTTTTTTAGAGTAACTGCATTGGAGGAAAGAAAATATTCAGATATCTCAGGGACTACTGGTCACTAGTTATGAATTGTCATTAATTTCAAGAGACCTAAAAAGTCACTGTGGCCTGCCAGAAAGAGTAGGAATTTATGGAGGTCAGTTTATCAATGGAGTTTTAACTCAGATCAGTCTCACAGTGGGCCCGTTGTTTTCCAGAAGCCATTCTGTGGTTATTTCCCCAGTTCCAGAATTGATAATTGGAATAGAGATACTCAGCAGCAGGAAGAATAATCATCTTGGTTTCCTGACTTATATAGACTGAGGGCTCTTATGGTGGGAAAGGCCAAGTGAAAGCCACTTAAACTGCCTTTAATTAGGAAAATAGTAAACCAAAAGCAATACTGCCTTCCTAGAATTATTGCAGAGATTAATGCCACCACCAAGGACTTGAAAGATGTAGGGATGGTGGTTCTCACCATATTTTCATTCAGCTCACCTATCTACCCTGTGCAGAAGAAAGTTGAATCTTGGAGAATTGCAGTGAATTATTATAAGCCTAACCAGGTGGTGACTCCAATTGCATCTACTATAACAGATGTTATTTCATTGTTTGTGCAAAGTAATACAGCCCCTGGCACCTAGTATGCAGCTATTGCTCTGGCAAAGGACTTTTTCTTCATTCCTGTCTATAAAGCCCATGAAAAGCAATTTGTTTTCAGCGGACAAGGCCAGAAATACAGCTTCATTGTTGTACCTTAAGAGTATATCAACTCTCTAGCCCTGTGTCATAACTTAGTTTGCAAGAATCTTGATCTCTTTTCCTTTCCATATCACACTGATCACACTGGTCCCTTACATTGATGGCATTATTCTGATTGGACTTAGTGAGAAGTAGCTACTCCAGACTTACTGGTAAGGCATTGTTCCAGAGGGAGATAAATAAATACAACAAAACTTCAGCCTTCTTCTACTTCAGTGAAATTTCTAGGGGTCCTGTTAAGATATTCCTTTTAAGGTGAAGAATAAGTTGTTGTATCTGACCTCTCCTACAACCATAAGGAATGCACTATGACTAGGACACCTCTGGATTTTGAGGCAACATATTTCTTCATTTGGGTATGTCACTCTGGTCCATTTACAGAGTGACCTAAATGCTGCTAGTTTTGAATGGGTCCAAGAAAAAAAAGAAGGCTCTGTAACAAGTCCAGGCTGCTGTGAAAGCTACTCTGACATTTGCATCATATGGTTCAGCTGATCCAATGATTCTAGAAGTGTCAATGGCAAGTAGGGATGCTCACTGGAGCATTTGGCAAGTCCCTATACGTAGACTATAGTACAGATGCAGGATTTTGGAGCAAAGTTCTGCCATCCTCCACAGATAACTACTCTTGTTTTGAGAAACAGCTTTTGGCCTGCTACTGAGCCTTAATAGAAACTGAATGCTTGACCAGAAGCCACTAAGTTACCATGCAACCTGAGTTGTCCCTCTTGAATTGGTAGTAACCTGACCCACAATGTCATAAAGTTGGGCACACATAGCAAAATTCCATCACCAAATGGAAGAGATATATATATGTTCAGGTCCTAGCAGGCCCTGACAACATATGTAAATTATGCAAAGCAGCAGTCCAAATGTCCATGATCCCCACCCTTGTTACATTACCTTTTTTCCCCTGGCCTGCACCTATAACCTCATGAGGAGTTCCTTATAATCAAGTGGCAGAGGAAGAAAATACTTAAGCCTGGTTTATAGATGATTTGACATGATATGTAGGCACCACCCAAAAGTGGACAACTTCACTATAGCCACTCCCTGGGACATACTTGTTGGACAGTGGTGAAGGAAAATCCTCTCAGTAGGCAGAATTTTGGACAGCATACCTGCTGTGAACTTTGTGTGGAAGAAGAAATGGCCAGATATGTGATTATATACTGATTCATGCACAAAGCCAATGGTTTGGCTGGATGGTCAGGAATTTAGAGAGATGATGATTGGAAAATTGATAGCAAAGAAATCTGAGGAAGAAGTATGTGGATAGACCTCTCTGAATGGGCAAAAATGTGAAGATATTTGTGTCATATGTGAATGATCACCAAAATGTGACCTCAGCAGAGGAAGATTTTAATAATCGAGTGAAAACGATGAACCATTCTGTGGTTACAAATTGATACTAGTCAGACTCTTTCCCCAGCCACCTCTGTTATTGCCCAATGGGCTCATAAACTAATTCTCCAGGGTAACAGAGATTAAGATTATGCATGGGCTCAGCAATATGGACTTCACTCATCTTGACTGACCTAGCTACAGCCACCGCTGAGTGCCCAATTTGCCAGCAGCAGAGAGCAACATTGAGTTCCATATATGGCCCTGATGTGGCACTATTTCTCAGGGTGATCAGCCAGCTACCTGGTGGCAGATTAAATGCAGTAAACTGCTTCTATTAGGAAGAGAAAGCATTTTGTCCTTACTAGAACAGATAATTATTCTAGATATGACTTGCTTTCCTTGCATGCGATATTTCTGCCAAAACTACCATCTTTGGAATCACAGAATGGCTTTTCCACTGTCATGGTATTCCACACAATATTGCTTCTGATAAAAACATTTCACAGCAAAAAAAATATATAACAGTGGGCCAATGTTTATAGAATCCATTAGTTACGATGTTTCTCACCATTCTGAAGCAGCTGACTTGATAGAACAGTGGAATGACGGTTTGAAGGATCAATTACAGCATCAGCTAGGTGGCAATGTCTTGCAGGTCTGGCACAATGCTCTCCAAAAAGCTGTAGATGTGCTTAATCAGTGTCCAATATATGGTGCTGTTTCTTTTATAGCAGGATCATTGGTCCAGGAATCAAGAGGTAGAAATAAAAGTGGTAGAACTCTCCATTACCCCTAGTGACCCACTAGCAAATATTTGCTTCCTGTTACTGTAACTTTATGCCCTGCTTTCCTAGAGCTCTTAGCTCCAAAAGGAGAAATATTCCCACCAGGAGACACAACAATAATTTCATTGTACTGGAAAGTTAAGATTGC
Organism: Homo sapiens; assembly: GCF_000001405.40. Taxonomy (NCBI): domain Eukaryota; kingdom Metazoa; phylum Chordata; class Mammalia; order Primates; family Hominidae; genus Homo; species Homo sapiens. The sequence goes on from NC_000023.11 coordinate 86,865,565, forward strand.
CATCCAGCCACTTTGAACTCCTCTTTTGCCTCTGAATTAACAGGCAAAGAAGGGAGTTACTATGCTGGCTGTGTTGATGGATCTTGACTAGCAAAAGAAGATTGGACTCTTACTCCACAATGGAGATAAGGAAAAGTATGTCTGGAATACAGGATATTTCTTAGGGCATCTCTTACTATTACCATGCCCTGTGATTAGAGTCAATGGAAAACTAAAACAACCCAATCCAGGCAGATTGGCACAAAACCTTCAGGAATGAAGGCCTGGGTTACAACATTAGGTAAAGAATAATGACCAGTTGTGGTGCTCGATAAAGGTAAATAACATATAGACTGGGTAAGAGAAGAGAATAATTAAAAATATCAGCTGTGATCATGTGACTAGTTACCAACTGAGGACTGTAACTGTCATGAGTATTCCTCCTTATTTGGTTATGAACGTGTGTGTGTGTGTGTGTGTGTGTGTGTGTGTGTGTGTAAAATATATCAAATAACTATTTTCTTTCCTCTCTTATTTCTGTATCATGTAACATAAGATATATTGACTTCATATCATACCATCTAAGTATTGTTAATTTTACCTTATAGTATTTAAGTTACAGGATATGAAGAAAATGAATAAAAATAACTTAAGAACTTTGGGACAAAATTACTCTTCCTTTAGGAAAGGGGTTAGTGTGTTTTCAGTTATTCACAGTATTGCTGTATCATATTAGGAGATATTTTGACCCAGTATTGTCTTTATTTGGAAATTAAGTATGTTTTATAGAGATGCATATTATTGTCAAGATCACAAGGGGTGGACTTGTGATAGTTAATTTTATATGACAACTTGATTGGATCATGAGATGCCCAGATATCTGGTAAAACAAATTAATTCTGGGTGTTTCTGTGTGTTGTATATTTTTATTTCCTGTATATCACGAAGTTTTGACACCATAAAAAAACCTTTCTGGCTGGGGAGAGACTATTTCAGGGATAGACAATACTCAGAGATAGCAAAGGTCACAGATAGGGGCATCCCTTTGACATGCAAATTAACCAGAGCCATAACTTTTCTATCTGGCCCACATACCTCAGGAGGCAATATTCTTCAGCCTTAAGTATCCTAAGACCAGATACCAGACAACTAGGGATCATGTCTATAGGCTAAAGCCTGCAAAAATTGTTCAAACTAGCCAATCTTAAACTGGTCATCCTCCACTGCCTTGCATTTCCCACAGAAACTCCAATAAGGGCTCCGACTAACACTCCTGTCTACTGCCTCCTGACCACCCTAATGTCTTTACAATGTGGTTTCATGTGGTGTGCTATGCCACCTGTCTCTAGGACCTCTGAGTGTAACAAAGTTTGTTTCCTTCAGCCTCTCTTGTGTCTTCTTTTGTGGCCACACCTGACTGACCATCAAACAAAACAATACAAAACAGTTTATGAGGTTATTTCCAAAAGAGATGAGCATTGGAAACAATAGACTAAGTAAAACCTATTGCCTTCCCCAATGTAAGTGGGCCTCATCCAGTCCATTGAGGACCTAAATCCTACAAAAAGGTGAAGAAAGGGAGATCGTAGAGTTTGGCTGTGTCTCCATCCAAATCTTATCTTGAATTGCAGCTCCCATAATCCCCACATGTCATGGGAGGGACCTGGTGGGAAGTAACTGAATCATGAGGGCGGGTTTTTCTTGTGCTGTTGTTGTGATAGTGAAGAAGTCTCACAAGAACTAATTGTTTTATAAAGGGAAATTCCCCTGCACATGTTCTCTTGCCTACTGTCATGTAAGATGTGCCTTTGCTCCTCCTTCACCTTCCACCATGATTGTGAGTCCTCCGCAGCTATGTGGAACTGTGAGTCCATTAAACCTTTTTTTCCTTCATAATTACCCAGTCTCAGGTATTTCTTCATAGCAGTATGAAAATGGACTAATAAAGGAGGATTCTCTCACTCTCTGCCTGAATGCTGGAGCTGAGACTTCAATTTTCTCCTGCTCCTGGTACTCCTGCTTCTCAGGGCTTCAGACTCAGATTGGAATCTGTAACTGGCTCTTCAGTCTCAGGGCTGTAAACTACACCATCAAGGCCTTCAGCTTGCAGACAGCAGATTGTGGGACTTGTAAGCCTCCATAATAATGTTAGTTAATACCCTATATAAACTATAGATAGACATCTTCTATTGGTTTTGCTTCTCTAGAGAATCTTGACTAATACAAGTATTTAATGTGATATGTTTCTTTTGGGATCATTCACCTACCCAATATTATAAACTTTATTCCTCTTACTCCCAGTGTTCTATCCATGTGCAAAATAGTTTTGATTAGAGTGATTTATCTTCTGAAGAAAAAATATAATTTTTGGAGCTTCACAGGGTTTACTGTTATTATACTTTTCAGTTCTCTTATGCCCATATACATTTGGTTTCTGCATTCTCTCACAATTTGAATATTCTTAAAGCTTTTTCCAATTTTATTGGTTCTATGATTTGTAAGCCTGGGGATATTATCAATGTAGGGTCTTTCTATCTCATTGTTAAATTTATCTGATAGAATTCTGAATTCCTTCTCGGTGTTATCTTTAATCTCTTTGACTTTTCTCAACACCTATTTTGAATTCTCTCTCTGAAAGGTCACATATTTCTGTTTCTCCAGGATTGGTCCCTGGTGCCATGTTTTGTTTATTTAGTAATGTCATATTTTTCCTGGATGGTTTTCATGCTAGTAGATGTTGTTTGGTGTCTGGGCACTGAAGAGTTAAGTATTTATTGTAGTCTTTAGTCTCTGGGATTATTTGCAGTTGTCTTCTTTGGGAAGAAATTCTAGATATTTAAAAGGACTTGAGTATTGTAACCTAAGCTGTTTATGATTTGGGGGCACTGCAAGCCCAGTAACACTCTCATTCTTGCACACCCAGAAGTACAGCCTTGATGGTCTTGGACAAGATTTGAAAGAATTTTCTGGATTAACAGGTAGCAATTCTTGTTCTCATCCCTTACTTTATCCCAAACATACAGCATGTCTCTCTCTGTTCTGAGCCATTTAAAGTTGAAGTGGAGTGACACAAGCACCCCTGTGGCCACCACTACAGTGAATGCACTGGGTGAGATTGAAGCAAGCACAGCTCTGGGTCTTGCCCAAGACCTGTTGTCACCACTTTTTGGCTATTATCTACGTCCACTCAAGATCCTGTGGCCCTACAATCAGCAGGTGGCAAAGCTACCAGGCCCATGGCCTTCCCTTCAGGGTAGCGAGATACCCCAGGTTCCAGGTGGGTGCAGAAGTGCTCTCCTGGAGTCAGGGACTGAAGTCAAAAACCTTAGAAGTCTACCTAGTATTCTATTGTATTGTGGTTGAGCTGGCACTCAAACCACCAGATACAGTCCTGCCCACTGCCCACTCTTCCTTACCCTTTCTAAAGGCAGAGGAGCCTCATTCTGTAGCCACCACCACCCTTGGGCAGGAGGAGTACTGCCGGACTATCACTGATGTTCCCTTAAGGCCCAGGGTCACTTAAGTCAGCCTGTGGTGAATGTTGCCTAACCTGGGACTCACCCTTCAGGCTAGTACGCTTTCCACTAACCCAGTGCAGGTCAAGAAATTCAGTCCAAGAGTCAAGTACTAGAATTGGGGACCCCATCAGCCAGCTTTGTGCTCTATTCTCCTGTGGCAGTGGTGGTATCTAAGGTGTAAGATAAAGTCTCCCTTACTTTTCCCTATGCTTTTCTCAAGCAGCAGTTTTGCCTGGAGGCCACACATTTGGTAATATGCTGAGTCTCACCTGAAGCCAGCAAGTCTCAGAGGCTCACTAAGTCTTTCATTGTAGTACCTGCATATCATTGGTGATTATTCAGGGCTGAAGTGCTCTTTAGTAAGCAGGTGATGAATGCTGTCAGAACTGGGTCCTTTTCTTCAAGGCAATAGGTTTCTTCCTTGCCCAGGGTGTGCCCAGAAATGTCATCTGGGAGCTAGGGCCTGAGACGAGAACCTCATTACTCTAACCTGTGCCCTACCCTGCTGTGACTGATCTGGTATCCAATATGCAAGAAAAAGTTCTCCCCACTCTGCCTTCTCCTCTCCTCAAGCAGAAGGAAGACGTCTTTTTTCAAGCCGTGAGCTCTGCAGCCTGGGCTTAGGGGAGGGATGATGACAGTGTTCCCTTGGCTGTCCCACTGGTGTCTCAGTATGTCAAGTGCACCCCCAGTCCACTGTCCCCGAGATTAGTTCTGCCATAGGACTCACTTAATAGCTGAAGTCTTTATGTCCTAGACTACCTCTAAAGTTTACTTAGAGACTGAGAGCACTTTGGCCCTCAGTGGTGAGGCTTACTGGAACTCATGTTTTGAATACTGGGACTGTCAATTCCCCTGCGACTAGGGCTGGTTTAAATGCTACCCTGTGGGTGAGGATCAGATGAGTTGGCCTTGTTTTCCTGTCCTTTTTTTTTTTTTTTTGAGTTGGAGTCTTGCTCTGTCACCCAGGCTGGAGTGCAGTGGCGCGATCTCAGCTCACTGCAACCTCGGCCACCTAGGTTCACACCATTTTCCTGCCTCAGCCCCCTGAGTCACTGGGACTACAGGCGCCCGCCACCACGACCAGCTAATTTTTTGTATTTTTAGTAAAGACGGGGTTTCACCATTTTAGACAGGATGGTCTCGATCTCCTGACCTCGTGATCCATCTGCCTCGGCCTAACAAAGTGCTGGGATTACAGGCGTGAGCCACAGTGCCCAGCCTTCCTTTCCTTTTTAACAGAACAGCACTGAGTTTAATACCTCACAATTGCTGTTTTCTCCCTCCCCCGGTGCTCAGAGATGCTCTCTTCACTATGCCTTGATGCCCGGGGTAAGGGAGGGATGGCATTGGCCATTCAGAGATGTTTTTTCTATCTCTTCAGTGCCTTGTTCCATAACATAAAGTTAAAACCTGGTACTATGAGTGCTCACCTAATTTTTGGTACTTATGAATGTTCTTCTGTGTAGATAGTTGTTAACTTAGTGTACTTGTGAGGGGGATGATTGGAGGAGCTTTCTATTTTGCCATGTTGCTCTGTTTCTCACACATAATTTCATTGTAGTTTGAGAATATGATATATATGATGCTGTGGTGGTTAATACTGAGTGTCAACTTGATTAGATGGAAGGGTACCAAGTATTAATCCTGGGTACATCTGTGAGGAGGTTGCCAAAAGAGATTAACATTTGAGTCAATGGTCTGGGAAAGGCAGATACACCTATAATCTGGGTGGGCACAACCTAATCAGCTACCAGCACAGCGAGAATATAAGCCGGAAGAAAAATGTGAAAAGAGAGACTGGCCTAGCTTCCCAGCCTACATCTTTCTCCCATGCAGGATGCTTCCTGCCCTCAAACACAGGACTCCAAGTTCTTCAGTATTGGAACTTGGACTGGTTCTTCTTGCTTCTTAGCCTACAGACGGCCTATTGTGGGACCTTGTGATCACATGAGTTAATATTAATAAAATCCCATATATAAATATATATATGGAACATCTACATGGAACATCTATATGGAACATCTACATGGAACATCTATACATGGAACATCTACATGGAACATCTATACATGGAACATCTACATGGAACATCTACACATGGAACATCTATACATGGCACATCTATACATGGCACATCTATACATGGCACATCTATACATGGAATATATACATACATGGAATATATATACATGGAATATATACATACATGGAATATATATATATATGGAATATATACATACATGGAATATATATATATGGAACATATACATACATGGAATATATATATGGAACATATACATACATGGAATATATATATATATGGAACATATACATACATGGAACATATATATATGGAACATATATATGGATATATATATGGAATGTATATATATGGAATATATATATATGGAATGTATATATATGGAATATATATATATGGAATGTATATATATGGAATATATATATATGGAATGTATATATATGGAATATATATATATGGAATGTATATATATGGAATATATATATGGAATATGTATATATGGAATATATATATGGAATATATATATGGAATATATATATATGGAATATATATATATGGAAGATATATATATGGAAGATATATATATGGAAGATATATATATGGAAGATATATATATGGAAGATATATATATGGAAGATATATATATGGAAGATATATATATGGAAGATATATATATGGAAGATATATATATGGAAGATATATATGGAATATATATATGGAACATATATATGGAATATATATATATGGAATATATATATATGGAATTTATATATGGAATATATATATATGGAATTTATATACACACATATATAATATATATATGGAATATATATATATACCCATATATAATATATATATGGAATATATATATATACACACATATATAATATATATATATATATTCCATTAGCTCTGTCCCTCTAGGGAACCCCAACTAATACAAATCTTGGTACAAATAGTGATTCAAGAGGAACAGAATATTAAGGATGGAGTTCTTTCATTGGTTTGGGGGTTTCTGGAGTTGGGTGCTTAATATAATTAGTCCCCAAAATGCTAAGGACTTTACTTCTAATAGCGTGGCGAACACTGGTAGTCCTTGGCATGAAGTGTTTAGAGAGTTATGCAAAATAAATGCATTTGAAACTCCTGATTCATAGCTTGTGAGAGACAAGGAGTTTAGTGACTCTATACATTATATCTTTGACCGTATGTGGAGAAAGAAGGAGCATAATGGTTGGAACTTGGTTGCTCCTAAGTTCAGAGGTAAAAGTGATGGAAGAAAATTATGAACTTAGGGATTCTATCTCCTGGCTTCAGAAGCAGATACTGAGCCTCAAATCTGCTAAGATTGCCTTGAGAGTCTTGTCTCCTATAGAGAAATAGCTGAAATTGCGGAAAAACAGACAGAAGCTCTTATCATGCGAGTGGCTGACCCGCAATGAAAGGTGCATGCACAGCTCATCATGTGTCTACTGTTAAAGTGAGGGCATTGATTGGAATGGGGACATGTGGGAGGACCCTGATGAAGCTGGGGACACTGAGTTTGTAAACTCCGATGAACCTTTTTTGTCAGAAGAAACAGCTTCTCCATCCCCAGTAGTGGCAACATCCTTTCCCAGACCCATGCTGCGATCAGCCTTTCCACCTTTGTCTGAGAAGATAAACCCTGCATTGCCTGAGGCAACAGTGATGGCCTCCCCTGAGGCAGTTGCCAGGCAAGATAACGTTGATTCTCCTCAGGACACACCCCCAACAACCCTGTTTGCTTCTAGATCTATAACTAGACAAAAGTTCCAGCAGGCCCCTGTAGGTGAGTTTGAGAATGTGACCCATGAGGAAGTGGGCTACACTGGAAAAGGACTTCTTGAGTTTTCTAATGTATATAAACAGCAATCTGGAGAACAGTCATGGGAATGGATATTAAGGGTTTAGGATAATGGTGGAAGGTGCATAGAGTTGGATCAGGCTGAATTTATTGATTTGGGCCTGCTAAGTAGGGACTCTGCATTTAATATTGCAGCTTGGGGAGTTAAAAAAGGTTCTAATAGTTTACTTGCTTGGTTAGCTAAAATATGGATTAAATGATGGCCCACTGTGAGCGAGCTGAAAACGCTTGATCTTTCTTGGTTTAATGTAGAGGAAAATATTCAAATGCTTAGAGAGATTGGTAAGGTGGAATGGATTCATCACTTCAGATCTACTCACCCCAGCTGTGAGGGTCCAGAAGATATACCCTTGACCAATGCCTTGTGAAATAGATTTGTGAGGACAGCACCTGCATCTTGGAAGAGCCCTGTAATTCTTCCCTTTATGTTCTTCTCTGTATGTCAGATCTAACAGTGGGAATCCCAGTCACTCAACTACAAAATTTAAATACAATGGAAATAATTGGATCCCGAGGTGGTAGGGGCCAAGTGGCGGCACTCAATCATCAAAGGCAAGGTAGGCATAGCTACCCTAATGGACACCAGAGGCAAATTGGCAATCAGAATAATCTGACTCATGCAGAGCTCTGGCATTGGCTAATGAATCACAGTGTTCCTAGAAGTGAAATTGATAGGAAGCCTACTGCATTTCTACATAAGTTATATAAGAAAAACCCTTCTTGGTAAATGGACAAAAGACTAATTTGAGTTATAAAAACAGAGAATCATGGCTCCTCAATTAATTTCCAAACTTGAGCCAGTTTACACACCCAGGATGCCTTGACTGAAGGGGAAGCTGGGTCCCCTTGAGGAAGGACCCCGCTACACTACCAGTAATTTATGCAGTGAACCTTCTCTCATCCTTTCCCAAGGATACCTCCAGCCTTTTACTAGGGTAACTGTGCATTGGGGAAATGGAAATGATCAGACATTTTGGGGACTACTGAAAACTGGCATTGAGCTGACGTTGATTCCAGGGGACCCAAAACATCATTTTGGTCCTCCAGTTAAAGTAGGAGCTTATGGAGGTCAGGAAATTAATGGAGTTTTAGCTCAGATCTGACTTACAGTGAGTCCAGTGGGTCTCTGGACTCATCCTGTGGTCATTTCCCTGTGCCAGAATGCATAATTGGCATGGACATACTTAGCAGCTGGAAGAACCCTCACATTGGCTCCCTGACTGGTAGGGTGAGGACTATTATGATGCAAAAAGACAAATGGAAGCCATTAGAGTTGCCTCTACCTAAGAAAATAGTAAATTAAAAACAATATTGCATTGGAGGGATCACAGACATTAGTGCCACCATCAAGGACTTGAAAGACATGGGGGTGGTGATTCCCACCACATCCCCACTTAACTCTCCCATTTGTCCTGTGCAGGACACAGATGGATCTTGGAGAATGACAGTGGATTACTGTAAGCTTAACCAAATAGTGACTCCAATTATAGCTGCTGTACCAGATGTAGTTTGATTGAGCAAATTAACACATATCCTGGTACCCGATACACAGCTACTGAAATGGCAAATGGCTTTTTCTCCATTTCTGTCCATAAGGCCCACCAGAAGCAATTTGCCTTCAGCTGGTGAGACCAGAAATATACGTTTACTCTCCTACCTCAGGGGTATATGAACTCTCTGGCTTTGTGTCATAATCTTATTGGGAGAGATCTTTATTATTTTTGGCTTCCTCACGATATCACAATGATCCATTACATTGATGACATTATGCTGATTGGATCCCGTGAGCAAGAAGTAACAAGTACACTAGACTTATTAGTGAGACATTTGCATGCCAGAGGATGGGAAATAAATCTGACTAGAATTCAGGGAACTTATACCTCAGTAAAATTTCTAGAGGTCCAGTGGTGTGGGGCCTGTCAAGATGTTCATTCTAAGATGAAGGATAAGTTGCTGCATTTGGCCCTTCCTACAACCAAGAAAGAGGCACAAATGCCTAGTGGGCCAATTTGGATTTTGGAGGCAACACATTCCTCATTTGTGTGTGTACTCAATGTTTAGATCACACTTATAAGTGAGTACATGAGGTATTTGGTGTTCTTTTCCTGCTTTAGTTCACTTAAGATAATGACCTCTAGCTTCATTGATGTAGCTACAAAAAGCATGATCTTGTTCCTTTTATGGCTGTGTAGTATTCCATGGTGTCTATGTACTACATTTTCTTTATTCAGTCTACTGTTGATGGGGATTTAGATTTATTCAATGTATTTTATATTGTGAATAGTGATGTGATGAATATATATGTGTCTTTATAGTAGAATAATTTATATTCATTTGGATATATATAAAACAACGGGATTGCTGGGTTGAATGATAATTCAGTTTTAAGTTCTTTGTCAAAGATCAGATGGTTGTACATGTGCGGCATTATTTCTCAACTCTATTCTGTTCCATTTGTCTATGTGTCTGTTTTTGTACCAGTAGCATGTTGTTTTCATTACTGTAGCATTGCAGTATAGTTTGAAGTTGGATAATATGTTGCCTCCTGCTTTGTTCTTTTTGCTTAGAATTTCTTTGGCTATTTGGACTCTTGTGATTCCATATAAATTTTTAAATTGCTTTTTTCTAATTCAGTGAAGAATGTTATTGGTAGTTCAATAGGAATAGTATTGAATTCTATGAACTGCTTTGCACATCCTTGTCTTGTTCTGCTTTCCATGGGGAATGATTTCAGCTTTTGCCCATTCAGTATGATGTTGCTGTGCGTTTGTCATAGATAGCTCTTATTATTTAATTTTCCTTCATTGCCTAGTTTGTTGAGGGTTTTTAACATAAAAGAATGTAAATTTTATCAACAGCCTTTTCTGCATCTATTGAGATAATCATGTGGTTTTTATTTTTAGTCTTGTTTATGTGATGAATCACATTTATTAATTTTCATATGTTGAACCAACCTTAAATCCCATAGATAAAGCCTACTTCATCATGGTGGATTAACTTTTTGATGTGCTGTGAGATTCAGTTTGCTAGTATTTTGTGGAGAATTTTTGTATCTATATTTATCAAGGATATCGGCCTGAAGTTTTCTTTTTTTGTTGTGTCTCTGCCAGGTTTTTGTATTAGGATCTTGCTGGCCTCGTAGAATGAGTCAAAAATGAGTCTCTCCTACGTTTTCCGGAATATTTTCATTAGGGATGGTACCAGCTCTTCTTTATATGTGAGGTAGAATTCAACTGTGAATCCGTCTAGTCCTGAGCTGTTTTTGTCAGGCTTTTTACTAATGCTTCAGTTTCAGAGTTTATTATTGGTCTGTTAAGGGATTCAATTTATTCCTGGTCAGTCTTGTGAGGTTGCATGTGACCAGCAATTTATCAATTTCTTCTCTATTTTCTACTTTGTGTGCATAGATGTATTTGTAATAGTCTCAGAGCATTTTTTTTAACTACTTTGGGGTCAATTGTAATGTCCCTTTGTCATTTCTCATTGTGTTTATTTGAATTTTCTCTCTTTTTTTCATTATCAGTCTAGCCATTTATTTTTTTTTCAAAAAAAAAATAACTCCTGAATTCATTAATCTTTTGTATGGCTTTTTGCATCTCAATTTTTTTTTTCAGTTCAGGTTTGATTTTGATTATTTCTTGCCTTCTGCTAACTTTGAGGTTGGTTTTCTCTTGCTTTTCTAGTTCCTCTAGTTGTGATGTTAGGTTGTTAGTTTGACATCTTTCTAACTTTTTGATGTGGTCATTTAGTACTATTAACTTCACTATTAATATTGCCTTAGCTGGGCCCCAGAGATTCTGGCATGTTGCATCATGGTTCTCATTAGTTTCAAATAATTTTTTGATTTCTGCCTTAATTTCATTATTTTCCCAAAAGTCATCCAGGAGCAGGTGGTTTAATTTCAGTGTAATTATATGATTTTGAATTATTGTCTTAGAACTGATTTCTATTTTTATTGCACTGTAGTCCAAGAGTGTGGTTGGTATGATTTAGGGTTTTTTTGATTTTGTAAAGGATTGTCTTATGTGCAATTGTGTGGTAGATTTTCAAGAATGTGCCATGTGCAGATGAGAAGAATGTATATTCTATTCGTGGTGGTGGAGTGTTCTGTAGATGCCTATTAGGTCCATTTGTTCAAGTGTCAAGTTCAGGTTCCAAATATCTTTGTTATATTTCTGCCTCAATGATCTCTCTGATACTGTCTGTAGAGTGTTGAAGACACCCACTATTATTTTGTGGTTATCTCAGTCTCTTTGTAGGTCACCAAGAACATGCTCAGTAAATCTGGATGCTCCTGTTTTGGGTGCATATATATTTAGGATACTTAGGCATTCTTGTTAAATTGAACCCTTTACCATTATGTAATGTCCTTCTTTGTCCTTTTTTGTCTCCCTTGGTTTTAAGTCTGTTTTATCTGAATTACAATAGCAACCCCTGCTTTTTTAATGTTTCTGTTTGCTTAGTAGATTTTTCTCCATTTCTTTACTTTGAAGCTACAGGTGTCATTGCATCTGAGAGGGATCTCTTGTAGACAACATACCATTGGGTCTTGCTTCTTTTTTTTGTTTTTATTTTGAAATTGTCTATCCTATTTTTTTTCTTTATTTTTCCATAGGTTATTGGGGGTACAGGTGATGTCTGGTTACATAAGTAAATATTTTAGGGGTGATTTTGAGATTTTGGTGTACTCATATCCCGAGCAGTATACACTGCACCCTATTTGTAGTCTTTTATCCCTCGTCCCCCTCCCACCCTTCATCTCAAGTCCAAAAGTTCATTGTATCATTTTTATGCCTTTGCGTCCTCATAGCTCAGCTCCCACATATCAGTGAGAACATACAATGTTTCATCTTCCATTCCTGAGTTACTTCACTTAGAATAATAGTCTCCAGTCTCATCCCGGTCACTGTGAATGCCATTAATTCATTCCTTTTAATGGCTAAGTAGTATTCCATTGTATATATATACCACAGTTTCTTTATCCACTCATTGACTGATGGGCACTTGGGTTGGTTCCACGATTTTGCAATTGCAAACTGTACTGATATAAACATGCGTGTGCAAGTATCTTTTTCATATAATGACTTACTTTCCTCTGGATAGATACCCAGTAGTGGGATTGCTGGATCAAATTGTTGTTCTACTTTTAGTTCTTTAAGGAATCTCCACACTGTTTTCCATAGTAGTTGTACTAGTTTACATTCCCATCAGCAGTGTAGAAGTGTTCCTGATCACTGCATCCTGGCCAACATCTAGTGTTTTTTTTTATTTTTGATCATGGCCATTCTTGCAGGAGTAAGGTGGTATCGCATTGTGGTTTTGATTTATGTTTCCCTGATCATTAGTGATGTTGAGAATTTTTTATATGTTTGTTGGCTATTCGCATATCTTTTGAGAATTGTCTATTCATGTCCTTAGCGTACTTTTTGATGGCATTTTTTTTCTTGCTGATTTGTTTGACTTCATTGTAGATTCTGGATATTAGTTCTTTGTCAGATGCGTAGATTGTGGTGATTTTCTCTCACTCTGTGGGTTGTCTGTTTACTCTGCTGACTGTTCCTTTTGCCATGCAAAAGCTCTTTATTTTAATTAAGTCCCAGCTATTTATCTTTGTTTTTATTGCATTTGCTTTTAGGTTCTTGGTCATGAAATCCTTGCCTAAGCCAATGTCTAGAAGGGTTTTTCCAATGTTATCTTCTATAATTTTTAAAGTTTCAGGTCTTAGATTTAAGTCCTTAATCCATCTTGTGTTGATTTTTGTATAAGGTGTGAGATGAGGATCCAATTTCACTATCATACATGTTACTAGCCAATTATTCCAGCACCATTTGTTGAATTGGGTGTCCTTACCCCACTTTATGTTTTTGTTTGTTTTGTCGAAGATTAGTTGGCTGTAAGTATTTGGGTTTATTTCTGGGTTCTCTATTCTGTTTCACTTATACCAGTACCATGCTGTTTTGGTGACTATGGCCTTATAGTATAGTTTGAGGTCGGGTAGTGTGATGCCTCCCGATTTGTTCTTTTTGCTTAGTTTTTCTTTGTCTATGTGGGCTCTTTTTTACTTCCATGAATTTTAGAATTGTTTTTTCTAATTCTGTGTAGAATGATTGTGGTATTTTGATGGGAATTGTGTTGAATTTGTAGATTGCTTTTGACAGTGTGGTCATCTTCACAATATTAATTCTACTCATCCATAAGCATGAGATGTGTTTCCATTTGTTTGTGTCATCTATGATTTCTTTCAGCAGTGTTTTATAGTTTTCCTCATAGAGATCTTTCGCCTCCTTGGTTAGGTATATTGCTAAAACTTTTATTTTTTGCAGGTATTGTTAAAAGGGTTGAGTTATTGATTTGATTGTCCACATGACTGCTGTTGGTGTATAGAAGTTACTTTCTAGGTATTTAATGTATGTGTGGTTATTGTAAATGGGATTACTGTTTTATTTCTTTTTCTGATTGTTCACTGTTGACATATAGAAATGTCACTGATTTTTTGTGTTGATTTTTTATCCTGCAACTTTACTGAATTTGTTTGTCATTTCTAAAGGTTTTTTCATGTAGTCTTTAAATTTCTCCAAATATTAGATCATATCATCTGCAAACAAGGCTACTTTAATTTCCTCCATTCTAGTTTGGATGCCCTTCATTTCTTTCTGTTTTCTGATTGCTCTAGCTAGGAATTTCATACCATGTTAAATAACAGTTTTGGAAGTGGGCACTGTCATCTGCCAGATCTTAGAGGCTTACAGGTTCTCCTCATTCAGTGTGATACGAGCTGTGGGTCTGTCTTGTATGGCTTTTATTATATTGAGGCATGTGCTTCAGTTTTTTTAGGGTATTTATCACAGAAAAATGTTGAATTTTATCAAATGCTTTTTCAGCATCAATTGAAATGATCATATGGTTTTAATTATACATTCTGTCAATATGATGTGTCACATTGATTGATTTGCATATGTTGAACCATTTTTGCATTTTTGAGATAAATCCTACTTAGTCATGATGAATCACAGTTTTAATGTATTGTTGAATTTAGTTTCTTAGTATTTTCTTGAGAATTTTTGTATCAACATTCACCAGAGATATTTCCCTGTAGTTTTCTTTTTATTGATGCATCCTTGTCTGGTTATGGTATCATGGTAGTACTATCTTTGTAGAATGAGACTGAAAGTATTTCCTCCTCCTCTACTTTTAAGAATAGTTTGAGTAAGATTGATATTAGTTCTTTTTTAAATGTTTGGTAGAATTCATCAGTAAAGCCATTGGGCCCTGCGGTTTTTTTGTTTGTTTCTTTGTTTTGTTTTTAACTGGGAGACAATTTACAGTCTCCATCTTGATAATCTTGGTATGTTGTATGTGTCTACAAATTTGCCCACTTCTTCTAGATTTTCCAATTTATTGCTATATAATTGCTCACAGTAGCCCCTAATAATTTTTTGAATTTCTGCGGTATTAGTTCTAATGAGTCATTTTTCATCTCTGATTACATTTGGATCTTCTCTCCTTTTGTTCCTAATAATCCCCACTAAAAATTTGCTAATTACAAATTTTCAAGAAAATGACTTTTTATTTCATTGAACTTTTGTATTTTTCATTTTAGATTCATTTATTTCTGCTATAACCTTTATTACCTTTTTTATTCTACTAATTTTGGATTTAATTTGTTTTCTCTAGCTCTTTAAGATACATTATTAAGTTATTTATTTGAAGTTTTTCTTCTTTTTTAATGTAGGCAGTTGTTGTTATAAACTTCCTTCTTAGTACTGCTTTTCCTGTATTCCATGGCTTTGGGTATGTTGTGTTTCCATTATCACTTGTTTCTAGAAATTTTTAAATTTCCTTCTTAATTTCTTCACTGACACCATGGAAATTCAAGAGCATATTATTTAATTTCCATATGTTTATATAGCTTCCAAAATTCCTCTTGTTATTGATTTCTAGTTTTATTTCATTATGATGAGAGAAGGTGCATGATATTATTTCCATTTTTGAAGATTTTAAGATTTGTTTTGTGACTTAACATATGGTCTATCCTTGAGAACAATCCATGTGATGAGGAAAAGAATGTGTATTCTGCAACCATTGGATGAAATGTTCTGTAAATATTACTTAGATCCATTTTGTCTACAGTGCAGATTAAGTCTAATGTTTCTTTGTTGATATTGTGTCAGGAATATGTGTCCAGTGCTGAAAGCAAGGTGCTGAAATCTTTAGCTGTTATTGTATCGGGGACTAACTCTCTTTACCTCTAATTATATTTACTTCATATTTCTGGGTGGCCCAGTGTTAGGTGCATAGAAATTTAAAACCATTATATCCTATTGCTGAATTGATCCTTTATGATTATATTGTGACCATCTTTGTCACTTCTTATAGTTTTTGTCTTGAAATCCTAATTTGTCTGATATAAATGTAGCTACTCTTGTTCTTTTTTGGTTTCCATTGGCATGGAATATATCGTTCCAACAATTTATTTTTAGTCCATATGTGCCTTTACAGATGAATTATCTTTCTTGTAGGTTACAGATCATAGGGTCTTTTTTTTTTTTAAATATCTTCCGCTACTTTATGTGTTTTGCTCGAAGAGTTTAGTCCATTTTTATTCAATGTTATTATTGACAAGTAATAATATACTCTTGTCATTTTGTTATGTATTTTAGTGTTGTGTGGTGGTCTTCTCTTCCTTTTTCTCTCCTTTTTTTTTTGTCAAAGAGATTTTCTCTGGTTATATAATTAATTTCTTGTTTTTTTTTTTTTAAACCTAGTGTATGTTTTGTTTTGTTTTGTTTTAGGTATCATGAGCTTGCAAATACTATCTTATAACCCATTATTTTGAGCTGATAACATGTTACCACTGTTTGCATAAACAAACAAATGAACATAAAGAAACTAATAAAGACTACTTCTTAACTTTGTTCCCCCACTTTGTAACTGTTTGTTGTTACTACTGAAATCATATTTTATTGGCTATGTTTTGAAAATATGGTTGTACTTATTATTTATGTTTGGTTCATCATTTAGTCTTTTTTTTTACTTAAGATGAGAGTAGATTACACACCAAAGTTATAGTGTTATAATATTCTGTGTTTTTCTGTGTACTTATTATTAACAGTGAGTTTTGTACCTTCAGATGACTCTTATTGCTCACTAAAGTCTTTTTCTTTCTGATTGAAGTACTCCCTTTAACATTTCTTGTGGGACAGGTCTGGTGTTGATGAAATCCCTCAGCTTTTTGTCTAGGCAAGTCATTATTTCCCCTTCATGTTTGAAGGATATTTCACTGGATATACTATACTAGGGTAATTTTTTTTCTCCAGCACTTCATGTCATTTCACTTTCTTTTTTCTTGTAATATTACGAATGAGAAGTCTGCTTTCAGACGTGTTGGAGCTCAGTAGTGTGTTATTTGTTTCTTTTCTCTTGCTGCTTTTAGGTTCCTTTCTTAATCCTTAATATTTGGGAGTTTGATTATTAAATGCCTTGAGATAGTCTTCTTTCTGTTAAAACTGCGTGTCATTCTGTAACTTTCTTTTACCTGGATATTGCTTTCTTTCTCTATGTTTTAGCAGTTCTCTGTTATTATCCCTTTGAATAAGTTTTCTACCACTATCTCTTTTCTCTATTTGTTCTTTAAGATCACTAACTTCTAGATTTTCCTTTTTGAGGATATTTTCTAGATCCTGTAACTATGCTTTAGTGATATATATATATATATATATATATATATATATATATATATATATATATATATATATATATATATATTCAATCCTTAACTAGGTATTTTCAAATAGCTTGTCTTCATGGTCACTAATTCTTTCTTCTCCTTGGTCAATTCTACTATTCAAATTCTGATGTTTTCTTCAGTGTATCACTTGCATTTTTTTTAGCAGCATAATTTCTGTTTGTTTTTTGTAAATTACTTCAATCTCTTTGTTAAATTTATCTGGTAAAATTCTAAACTACTTCTTTATGCTATCTTAAAGTTTTCTCAAAACACTTATTTATAATTGTCTGTCTGAAAGGTCACATATCTGTGTTTCTCCAGGATTGGTCCCTGGTGCCTTGTTGACTACATTTGGTGCGGTCATGTTTTACTGGATGTTATTGATGCTAGAGATGTTCTTCAATGTCTGGACATTGAAGAGTTGGGTATTTATTGTAGTCTTCATTGTCTGGGCTTTTTATTTAACTTGCCTTTTTTGGGAAGATTTTCTAGATATTTAAAAAACCTTGGGCATTGGGATCTAAACCGTGTCTGCTTTAGGGGGCAACCCATACCCCATATCTTTGTGGTTCCTGCAGACTCATAGAAGTACTGTCTTGATGGTCTTGGACAAGATCCAGACAAATTATCTGGAGGATCAGGCAGATAACTCTTGTTCTTGCCCTACTTTCTTGCAAACAAATGAAGTCTTCTTTCTGTTCTGAGCCACCTAAAGCTGGGGTTTTGAGTTACACATATACTCCTGTGGCCACCACCATGATGACTGTGCTGAGTCAGACCTGAGGTCAGCACAGCACTAGATCTCACCCAAGGTCTTCTGTACCACTACCTGGATACTGCCTTTGTTCATTCAAGGGTCTAGGGCTCTACAATCAGCAGATGGTAAAGCTCACCAGTCCTGTGTCCTTCCCTTTGGGGCAGCAAGATGCCCCATTCCCCAGGTGAGTCCAGAGATGACAGCCAGGATTCACAGACAAGAGTAAAAAAACCTTAAATATCTACCTTCTGCTCTCTTGTACTGAAGCTGAGCTGGCACTCAAACCACAAGGTGCAGTCCTTCTCATTCTTTTTTTTTTTTTTTTGAATTAAGAAATGGTTTATTTTTATACTTTAAGTTTTAGGGTACATGTGAACAATGTGCAGGTTAGTTACATATGTATACATGTGACATGCTGGTGCACTGCACCCACTAACTCGTCATCTAGCATTAGGTATATCTCCCAATGCTATCCCTCCCCCCTCCCCCTACCCCACAACAGTCCCCAGAGTGTGATGTTCCCCTTCCTGTGTCCATGTGTTCTCACTGTTCAATTCCCACCTATGAGTGAGAACATGTGGTGTTTGTTTTTTTGTTCTTGTGATAGTTTACTGAGAATGATGATTTCCAATTTCATCCATGTCCCTACAAGGGACATGAACTCATCATTTTTTATGGCTGCATAGTATTCCATGCTGGAGAGGATGTGGAGAAATAGGAACACTTTTACACTGTTGGTGGGACTGTAAACTAGTTCAACCATTGTGGAAGTCAGTGTGGCGATTCCTCAGGGATCTAGAACTAGAAATACCATTTGCCCCAGTCATCCCATTACTGGGTATATACCCAAAGGACTATAAATCATGCTGCTATAAAGACACATGCACACGTATGTTTATTGCAACACTATTCACAATAGCAAAGACTTGGAACCAACCCAAATGTCCAACAATGATAGACTGGATTAAGAAAATGTGGCACATATACACCATGGAATACTATGCAGCCATAAAAAATGATGAGTCCTTCTCATTCTTATCTCCTCGTTGCAAAGGCAGAGGAGCCTCACGCTCTGACCAGTACTACATGTCCATGTGGAGTACTGCCAGGCTACTAGTGATGTTTTCATAAGACTTAAGGGCTTGTAAGTTAGTTTGTGGTGAATGCTGCATGGCCTGGGACTCACCCTTCAAGGTAGTGGGCTCCCCTCTGGCCCAGGGCAGGTCCAGAAATGCCATCCCAGAGTCAAGTCAAATCAAAACTACAATGTTATATCATTTCACCCTAGTTAAAATGGCTTACACCTAAACGACAGGCAATAACAAATGCTGGTGAGGATGTGGAAAAAAGGGAACCCTTGTATGTTCTGGGTGGGAATGTAAATTAGTACAACCACTGTGGAGAACAATATGGAGGTTCCTCAAAATCTAAAAATAGAGCTACCATATGATCCTACAGTCCTACTGCTGGTTATATACCCAAAAGAATGTAAATCAGTATATTGCAGAGGTATCTACACTCCCATGTTTTTTGCGGCACTGTTCACAATAGCCAAAATCTGGAGGCAACCTGTCTTCATCAACAGATGACTGGATACAAAAATTTTTGTAGTTATACACACTGGAGTACTTTTCATCCATAAAAAATTAGATCCAAGTATTTGCAACAAAATGGCTGGAACTGGATGGAGATTATTATGTTAAGTGAAATAAGCCAGACACAGAAACACAAACATTGCATATTCTCACTTATTTGTGGGATCTGAAAATTAAAACAACTGAACTCATGGAGATGGAGGTAAAAGGATGGTTATCGGAAGCTTGGAAAAATAGTGGAAGGGTACGGGGCAGTTGGGGATGGTTAATGGGTACAAAAGTAATAGAATATTTTAATAAGACCTAGTATTTGAGAGCAAAAAGGGTAACTATAGCCAGTAATAAGTTAGTTCTACATTTAAACATAAAAGAATATAATAGGATTGTTTGTAACACAAAAGATAAATGCTTGAGATGATAAATACCCCATTTTCAAGGATGTGATTATTTCACATTACATGCCTGTACCAATACACCTGATGTACCCCATAAATATATACACATAGCATGCACCCACAAAAATTAAAAACAAAAAGATCTAAAAAAATTTCTATCTGCCCTTCAAAAATTTTAACTTCACAAGGGCAGGAACTTTGCATGTTCTTGTGACCTGCCAAATCCACATCACTTGGAAAAGTGCCTGGCAATATTAAAGGCTCAAACATGTTTTAGAGTGAATGAATGAATCAGACAGATGAGCAATTGGAAACCTAAATTGTTAATATTTATTCATTCATGGATTATCTAATACTTATTTGGATATCTTGTATATATATTAATACAATGTTCTGAGGTAGTATACTTTAGTTTCCATTCCGGTTAACTTTAAGAAAGAGTCCGTTTTTTGTATTTTAAATTGTGTATAAGAAAGTACAATTAAAAGTGTTGGTATTTTAAATACATTTTAATATCATTAGACTGTTTGCCTTAGCTTGTGTCCTTCATGAAGTAGAGCCTGGAGCAAAAGCACATGTGCAGTACTTCCAGAGAATGGAATATTATTCAGCATTAAAAAGAAATGAACTAGCAAGGAAATTTAAATACATGTTAACCAGTGGAAAGAATATAATATCAAAAGTATACATACTGTATTCTTTCAACTGTATGACATTTTAGAAGAGGCAAAACTATAGAGATGGCAAAAAGATCAGTGGTTTCCAAGGGTTGGGGAAGGGAGGAATGAATAGGCAGAGCACAGAGGAATTTTAAGGCAGTAAAACTACTCTATGTGATACCATAGTGTTGGATATATGCCCTTATACATTTGTTTAAACCCATGGAGTGGGAGATGTTAATACTAGGGAGATTATGCATGTGTACAGACAGGGAGTATATGGGAAGTCTCTGCACTTTCTACTAATTTTTTTTTTTTTTTTTTTTTTTTTTTTGTGATGGAGTCTTGCTCTGTTGCCAGGCTGGAGTGCAGTGGAGTGATCTGGCGCCATGGGGCCAGATTTCATTCATAGTGATAGTCATTAAAAAACAAACTTTAAAAGGGGAAATAATTTGTCTTATAATTTATATTAAAACTGCAGTAAGAGTTTTGATTATTTGGATAATTTCCTTAGGTGTTTCTTAGCAATAATAAAGTCTCTCACCAACCCCCACCCTCATTCTCCATGATGTTTCCATCATTGGTGGATGTTAAATAGGAGAAGAACAATCATTTTGTCATCATTAGACTGCTTATTGCATATTAGTGGTTTGAGAGATGATGATTTGCAAATAAATAATAATAGAAAATTGTGGCAAATGAATAATATCATTAAAATATGACATGTAGATAGAGCAATGTAAAATGAATTGATAAATGCCAAGGCATGTTTACTATATTTGAAAAGTATTTCTATACAGTCCTAGTTATTACATAGCATTATGATGCATTTATACTTACAGCATATACATTCATAAAACTTTAATTTGCTTTTCACTTTTAGCATTCATTTTTCAAGAAACAATGAAAAAGATATTCCTTCAAAACCATAAAGAATCAATAAATATACCCCAAAAGTATGTTTTACTGGACACATTCTTCTTATTCCATTTTAGGGTAAAGTACATTTTCCTTTTATTTCTGAATTTTTTCAACTATCCTTCCTTTTTTAGGTGGGAGAGAGGAAAACAAAAAGGTCAGGAATGGAGAGTAAAGAGGGTTTAATCTAGTTAAGATTGTTAGCACAGGCTGCATATTGGTCACTGACAGAGTCTCCATTACATAGTAAAAAAAATTAAAAAGAGGGAGAAAACTTTTGATGAATAGACAACATCTAATTTCTGTGCAAGAAAATCTTAAATTACTTTCAATTATTATTCCAAAAGGCAAAATTAATTGTAAATAACTAGATGTCATTAAAGCCAGATTCTGCTGGGTAATGCAAATCTTTTACAGTTTTGTTTCAGTTAACTGCCTCATTAATGATTTATAGATGTGTATACAGCTGTGGGAACCATAGCATTATCTAATGCACTCAGAGCATAATTACATATGAAAAGAACTATGCAGCTCATGGGAAAATCTCTGAAATCACTTACTGCTTTAACTTCAACTATATTAAGATGTAAAGCATTTTGAAATAGACTTTGATGTTTTGTCACGTTTTTGACTCAAAATGTTGCCAACTTTTAAAGAAAAATTGGGATTTGCCATCAAATAAAAATGTTTGCATACTTCTTCAGTGCACACAGCATGCAGAAACATTAAGGCTTGTTTAACAAAGAAATAAAGCAATTTATTTATTATTTAGGAAGCCAGTTCAGAAAACATTTCTCTTTGTGCATCTGTTGTGTATGAAGAATAAAAATCTACTCAATAAAACAAAAGCATAGTCTTTTTTATCACTATACTAGAACACAGATCATTTCAAGATAAAAGTCTTAGAATACCAATTTTCTATCACATTTTATCCAGTTCTATAGGGTAATACTTTTTATTATAACCACTATTTCTTTACCTCTAGGAGAGCCCAGCCCTTTTTTTTAACATCATTTGTTCTAGTTCTCCATTCATTTCTTCTTTGGTGAGTATTTTTTCCTGAATTTTAACGTTTAGATGATATTATACATCATCGATTATTTCTGGACTCTTTTTCCTTTTACATTTAATATACACACATATAACTTTGAACATCTAAGTTCCTAATTCTGACATATATATATATATATATATAAGTGTAACGTAAATATATATATATATATATATATATATATATATGTATGTATATTCATAGTTTTAGGATTTTCTATTTACCCAAGTGAAACTTCAATGTTAACTCATTCTTGGTTTTCTGGGTATGTGCAAATAAAATAGTAGTTGATAAAAAATGTGGGAGAGAAATTTAAAAATGATACATTTTTAATTGTTAACACACTGCCTAGGAATAGGTACTCTATAGATAAAGACACAAACATCCAATTTGTTATTAGGTAAAAGAGTCATGCCAAATGCAATTAAGTTTCTCTTTCTTCCTATCAGAGTTTTACTGAGCTTTTTTCTGGCTGGAAACATGGAGGCTGTCCAAGAGAAGAAGATTCCTGCTGTGCCAGAAATGCTTAAGAACAAGTGAAGGATTTAGCAGAGCTGAAAATCAAGTGCCGGGGAAAGAAGTTTTTGCCCAAAAGAGGCTTCGAAAGGTAAGTAGGAAGCTTATCTATGAAAAAGCGAAGTACTATCACAAGGAATATAGGTAGATGTACAGATCTGAAATTCAAATGGCTAGGATGCTAAGAAAAACTAGCAACTTCTATGTATTACATAGAAGCCTAAGTTACTGACTTAGACTTTAGATGATATTGAAATAACTAGTAACTCATACACAGCACTTTCCCACCGAAGAAAGTGATCAAATGTACACATGACTGTTAAAAAACCAAAATAATGGTTCTTAAATAACGCATGAAATCAGCTGAAGATCATAAACTTAAAATAGGACTTTGTACTCTTCCATTAGGGATGGAATTTTAATTAAACCTGCACCATAAAACCAAATCAATGTGTATTCTGTTTTTACAGTGAAACCATGACTCTTAATAAAATAAAATGTATATTTAGAAAGAACGGAGGCTGAATAACATGGCCAATATGTCCTTTAAATTTCTAACTTATAGAATTAGGTGGTAGATCTTTTCCATTTGTTCACATTAATTGTATAATAGGCTATGTCAAAGATCAAAAATAATATCACATGAATAAATTTTAATACTTCCATATTGGTAATCTAGTGGATGAGACCAAAATATAATAACAATGAAAAATAAATAGAAATGATTCCCAAGGAAGACATTTTAGTTTTTTTGTGTGTGTGCCTTTAAATAAGACTTCTATCATTATTTGCATGTGTAAAACATATTCACTGGGAACACTTTATCCTTTTTATATAATTTTGTTTGATCAAGATTTCTACTATTTCTTTGGGAGTCAAATTTTCATGCTTTCCTAGCTTATGCACCTTTGTAATTTAAAAAGAGTTTGTAAGGTATTATTTACATTGAAACTATCTTAAAATTACTCAGATACAGGAGCATAAAGTTGTTTCATAATGTTCTAATAATTCTAGACTTGGGACACATAAAAGCCTATCTTCAGATTTTCAGTTTTAAATGGAAGAGAAAAATGGTAACTGACAATATATTTCTCCTTCAATTCTCCTATAGTTCCCAATGAAAAAATAATGATTTTAACAAAGCAAAAATTAATAAGATACAATAGCAAAACAATTTAGAAAACAGCAAAAATTAAAAAAATAAAAAATAAAAAAAAGGTAGCAATGACTAAATAAGGCAAGAGGTGGAGCCCAAAATAATTAACTTCAAAAATGACAACCAAGAATAGAAACAGTTAATACTGTGACAGAGCAGATATTAAAAAGGAACATGACAAGCTGTCCTTTAGATACCACAATAGTGATTCCACAAAAGCCTGAGAATTTTAACTAATATTACAAAATGTAAAAAAGCAAGCTAATTGAATATCTTTGTGTTGACTCTCTTCTGAAGAGGTAATAGGGGAAATGGATGCTGTAAAACTGAAGAAATTAACAATGAGATTGAATTTATTGGAGAAAAGTAAAGGTTCTAAGTATAAAGAATAGTTAGTGGAGTAAATTTTAACTTAAATGATACCTCAAATGAATTGAATACACCTAACAGTGAGGTGCAGTGCATCTGATACAGCAGATATAATGAAATCTGGGAAAGGAAAGGTGAGCTCAGTATTGTTCTTTCTTCTTTCCATGCCTGCAGGATACAGAAAAACTGACTAGAACATTTTAAAGGCAGCTGAAAATAACTGCTTTTTGGGAAAAGTAAGTCTCAAAAGAATTGGAAAGGAAGTTAAATTCACCTACACTATAGAGATTTAAAATATAGTCTGGACAGAGCCGAGGAGATTCCAAAGTGCGAACAAGCTGAAAAAGTCTGGCATGGAAATTAAGCCTATGCATAATACCAGAAAAAAAAATAAGTGAGATACTTTCAATAAAAAGGACAGAGAAAGAAACTATAATGGAAGAAAACATAACCAAAGGAACAAAAGGAAAATTGCCAGTGATGCTTTGTACTCCACAAGGACTCAGATTAAATAAAATAAAGAGCAAAAAGATGAGAAAAACTGAGGTGATTAACTTACAATACAAAATAAACGGTCAAAATATATTAATGTAACTAATAAACTGAAAGGTTCAATGAATAGAACATATATGGAAAAATGCAAATTAATTACATGATAACATGGAGGAAAGGCTTAGAATAATTACAGTGAACACAGCTGTGAAAGATCAAGTAATCAGAAAAAAATAGATATGCAAGACAAAGACAATCTCCTATATGAATTAATGGTTTCCCTGAAGAACTCAACATATGGATTGGGAGAATTATTAAATATTTAATAAAATAAGTTTCCATGAAATGAAGAAAGAGCCAAAAAAGATTCCAGGAAACATTTACACTGAATGGTTAAGATATATCCCATGTGTAAGTAATTGAATTTAAAAACAAAGTTTTTTTTTCCTAAAAGAAATAAAATGTGATGCAAGGATTATTTATCAAAAAGAAAATGTTGAAACCTGAAAGCCTTAGGAATCCTAAACCCAGAAAAATTGTAAAAGAAACATTTTGGAAATTTTGTTGGAAATAAAAACCTCTTAATGATGAAACTAAATAAATTAAGAAATAAGTAAAAATAATGAATATGTGAAAACATAAAATAATGAACAAGCTTATACATACAAATATAAAAACTGTAGTAACAGAACAGAACGTAAATGCTATAAATTTTGGTGAAATAAAATTAACATAAATCACAAATCAGAAAGAGGAAGGAAGGGAGGTAGGACAACATGAAAGAGTGCTAATGTCTTTATCTTTTATAGCAGAGAGCCAATTGATGTGTATAAAGTTTAAAAGAGGAGTTAAAGGTGCATAATTTAAAAATCTATATTTAAAAAATTTTTTATATTTAGAAATAAATTACAGGAAACAATTTATTATGGTGAGACAATATTTCATTCAGTTTCATTACAGTTTCCTGTTCTGTTAATTCACATAAACTTACATTGAATACTTATTTTTTAAAATAAGGCATGTGTTAGGACCCAATATTTATAAAACATTTTTTATTGTCAATTTGTCTATCTATGTCATATCTATTATATCTATCCATCCATCTATTCATCCAACTATCCATTGACCCATCTATCTTCCTACCTTTATAATTAGTTGATTGAAATGATATTCAGTTGGTGTACACATTTTGTGGTGGTACAATATAGAATGTAGTTTTTGCATTTTACTATGCATTTTCTTAATTGCCTAAATTATATATAATATGTAGCATTTTATTGCAACAATAATAAATTCATTATTTTTATCATAAAATTAACCCAATTTGATAAAGTATGGTGCAGCAGTTCCATTATTTAAATAAATCATAATCTTCCAGGCCTTAATATCTGGTACCTTTATTTTTGGCAGCAATATTGGGTAATAGATACTTATCTAATACATAGAGAGGAGTCATAACTGATGCATGAATGTTTTAAACAACCTGCAGATCGTCATCCAGCATCTGTGTTAAAATCCTTGATGACCAATAACTCAATTTGTCACAAGGCTTCCTTTTCCATTTCAGGATATCGTTCATTTTTTGAAACACTTTTTTTTCCTTTTTGGCTTAAACAACAGAAACTTTTTTTTTCCATAAATCTGAAGGCTGTAAGCTCAAGATCAGGATGTAAATAGGACTTTTTTTCCTGAGGCCTCTTTTCTTGGCTTTTATATGGCCATCTTCTCCTTATGGTGGACACAGGTTGATTCTGTATCTTTTCTGTTGTGAATAGTTCTATGATAAATATGTGAGTGCAGATGTCTCTTCCACACTGTTATCATTTCCTTTGGATATACACCCAAAGATATATATATTCATATAAGATATGGTATATATATTCATATAAGATATGGTATATATATGAATATATATATTCATATATATATCAAATAAGAGATATATATATCTTATTTGAGTTTATGTATACTTAATGTTTAGTATGTCAATTTGTCTTGTATACTTAATGTTTACAAATATCATGTATACTTAATGTTTAGATACCACTTACAAATGAGAACATGCAGTATTTGGTTTTCTCTTTCTGTGTTAGTTTCCTTAGGATAATGAACACCAGCTCCATTCATGTTGCAGCAAAGGAGATGATCTCATTCTTTTGGGGGGGCTGTGTAGTAATCCATGGTGTATATGTACCACATTTTCTTTATCCAGTGTAATGTTGATGGGCATTAATGTTGGTTCCATGGATTCGTTATTGTGAACATCAGCAAGCATGCATGTGTCTTAATGGTAGAACAATTTATATTCCTTGAATCCAATAATGGGATTGCTGGGTCAAATAGCAGTTCTAAGTTACTTGAGCAATCCCCAAATGGCTTTCTACAATGGATGAATTAATTAAAGTTTCCACCAGCAGTGTATGTGTTCCTTTTTCTTCACAACCTCCCCAGCATCTGCTATTTTTGATGGTTCGATAATAATCATTATGACTAGTGTGAAGTGGTATCTCACTGTTGTTTTTTAATTTGCATTTATCTAATTATTAGTGATGTTGATCTTTTTTTTCACATGCTTCTTGGCCACATGTATGTCTTCTTTTGAAAAATATCTGTTCATGATTTTTGCCCACTTTTTAATGGGGTTGTTTGTGTTTTGTTTGTAAAGTTGTTTTTTTTGTGGCTGAAATTCATATATTTTATTCAATATAGCCTCTCAAATAGTCACTTGAAGTCTACTTAGTATTAGTCCTATACATAATTTGTTAAAAAGAAATTTAAACTAGAAGTTATGGATTCCAAAGTTTACCCTACTGATAACATTTTGAAGTAATTAAAGTTGTTTAAGTTCCTTATAGATTCTGGATATTAGACTTCTGTCAGATGCATAGTTTGAAAATATTTTCTCCCATACTCTAGATTGTCTGTTTAATCTGTTGATAGTTTATTTTGCTGTGCAGATGTTCTTTAATTTAATTAGGTACCATTTGTCAATTTTTGTTTTTGTTGCAATTGTTTTTGGCCTCTTAGTCATGAAATCTTTGCCAGGGATCTCAGGTTATGTTCCAAGGTTTATATAGTTTTAGGTTTCGTATTTAAGTTTTTAATCCATCTTCAGTTGATTTTTGTATGTGGTGTAAGGAAAGGGTCGAGTTTCCAACTTCTGCATATTTCTAGCCAGTTATCTCAGCATTATTTATTGAACAGGGCATCATTTCCCCATGGCCTGTTTTTTTAAAATTATTATTATACTTTAAGTTCTGGGATACATGTGTAGAACATGCAGGGTTTTTACATAGGTATACACGTGCCATGGTGGTTTGCTGCATCCATCAACCCGTCATCTACATTATGTATTTCTTCTAATGCTATCCCTCCCCTACTCCCCAACCCGACAGGCCCCAGTGTGTGATGTTCCCCTCCCTGTGTTCATGTGTTCTCATTGTTCAACTCCCACTTATGAGTGAGAATATGCGGTGTTTGGTTTTCTGTTTCTGTGTTAGTTTGCTGAGAAGGATAGTTTCCAGCTTCAAACATGTCCCTGCAAAGGACATGAACTCATCCTTTTTTATGGCTGCATAGTAATGGTATGGTGTATATGTGCTGCATTTTCTTTATCCAGTCTATCATTGATGTGCATTTGGGTTGGTTCCATGTCTTTGCTATTGTGAATAGTGCTGCAATAAACATACGTGTGCATGTGTCTTTATAGTAGAATGATTTATAATCTTTTGGGTATATACCCAGTAATGGGACTGCTGGGTAAAACGGTATTTCTGGTTCTAGATCCTTGAGGAATCGCCACACTGTCTTCCACAATGGTTGAACTAATTTAAACTTCCACCAACAGTGTAAAAGCGTTCCTATTTCTCCACATCCTCCCCAGCATCTGTTGTTTCCTGACTTTTTAATGATTGCCATTCTAACTGGCATGAGATGGTATCTCATTGTGGTTTTGATTTCCATTTCTCTGATGACCAGTGATGATGAACGTTTTTTCATGTGTCTGTTGGCTGCATAAATGTCTTCTTTTGAGAAGTGTCTGTTCATATCCTTTGCCCATTTTTTGATGGGGTTGTTTGATTTTTTCTTGTAAATTTGTTTAAGTTCTTTGTAGATTCTGGATATTAGCCTAATGACCAGTGATGGTGAACATTTTTTCATATGTTTGTTGGCTGCATAAATGTCTTCTTTTGAAAAGTGTCTATTTATATCCTTCACTCAGTTTTTGATGGGGTTGTTTGATTTTTTCTTGTAAATTTGTTTAAATTCCTTGTAGATTCTAGATATTAGCCCTTTGTCAGATGGATAGATTGCAAAAATGTTCTCTCATTCTGTAGGATGCCTGTTCACTCTGATGATAGTTTCTTTTGCTGTGCAGAAGCTCTTTAGTTTAGTTAGATTCCATTTGTCAATCTGGGCTTTTGCTGCAATTGCTTTTGGTGTTTTAGTCATGAAATATTTGCCCATGCCTATGTCCTGAATGGTATTGCCTAGGTTTTCTTCTAGGGTTTTTATGGTTTTAGGTCTTATGTTTAAGTTTATAATTCATCTTGAGTTAATTTTTGTATAAGGTGTAAGGAAGGGTTCCAGTTTCAGTTTTCTGCATATGGTTAGCCAGTTTTCCTGACACCATTTATTAAATAAATGGTGTTTTCCATTTATTTGAGAATCATTTTCCCATTGCTTGTTTTTGTCAGGTTTGTCAAAGATCAGATGGTTGTAGATGTGTGGTGTTATTTCTGAGGCCTCTCTTCTGTTCCATTAATTTATATATCTGTTTTGGTAGCAGTACCATGCTGTTTTGGTTGCTGTAGCCTTGTAGTATGGTTTGAAGTCAGGTAGCATGATGCCTCCAGCTTTGTTCTTTTTGCTTAGGATTGCCTTGGCTATACGAGCTCTTTTTTGGTTCCATAGGAAATTTAAAGTGTGTTGGTTGGCAAGGTGGCCGAATAGAAACAGCTCCTGTCTGCAAATCCCAATAAGATCAATGCAGATGGTGGTGATTTCTGCATTTCCACCTGAGGTACCTGGCTCATCTCATTGGGACTGGTTAGACAGTGGGTGCAGCCTATGGAGAGCGAGCTGAAACAGGGTGGGACATTGCCTCACCTGGGAAATGTAAGTGGTCAGGGAATACCCTCCCCTAGCCAAGGGAAGCTGTGAGGGACTGTGCCTTGAGGAACAATGCACTCCCGCCCAGACACTACACTTTTCCCATGGTCTTCACAACCTCCAGACCAGGAGATTCCCACATGTGCTGACACCACTGGGGCCCTGGGTTTCAAGCACAAAACTGGGTGGCCATTTGGGCAGACATCGAGCTAGCTGCAGGAGTTTTTTTCATACCCCATTGGTGCCTGGAATGCCAGCAAGACAGAAATGTTCACTTCCCTGGAAAGGGGGCTGAAGCCAGGGAGCCAAGTGGTCTATCTCAGTGGATCCCACCTCCACAGAGCCCAGCAAGTTAAGATCCACTGGCTTGAAGTTCTCACTTCCAGCACAACAGTCTGAAGTCAACTTGGGATGCTTGAGATTGGTGAGTGGAGGGGCGTCTGCCATTACTGAGGCTTGAGTAGGCCGTCTTCCCCTCACAGTTTAAACAAAGCCACCAGGAATTTTGAACTGGGCAGAGGCCACCACAGCTCTGCAAAGCCACTGTAGCCAAACTGCCTCTCTAGATTCCTCCTCTCTGGGCAGGGCATCTCTGAAAGAAAGGCATCAGCCCCAGTCAGGGGCTTATAGATAAAACTCCCATCTCCCTGGGACAGAGGACCTGGGAAAAGCGGTGGCTATGGGTGCTCCTTCAGCGGACTTAAACATTCCTGCCTGCTGGCTCTGAAGAGAGCAGTGGATCTCCCAGCACAGTGCTTGAGCTCTGCTAAGGGACAGACTGCCTCCTCAAGTGGGTCCCTGACCCACATGCCTCCTGACTGGGAGACACATCCCAGCAGGGGTCAACAGACACCTCATAAAGGAGAGTTCCAGCTGGCATCTGGTGGGTACCCCACTGGGACAAAAATTCCAGAGGAAGAAGCAGGCAGCAATCTTTGTTGTTATGCAGCCTCTGCTGGTGATACCCAGGCAAACAGGGTCTGGAGTGGACCTCCAGCAAACTCCAGCAGAACTGCAGCAGAGGGGCCTGACTTTTAGTAGGAAAACTAACAAACAGAAAGTAATAGCATCAACATCAACAAGAAGGACGTTGTCACAGAAACCCCATCCGAAGGTCACCAACATCAAAGACCAAAGGTAGATAAATCCACAAAGATGAGGAAAAATCAGCACAAAAAGCCTGAAAATTCCAAAAACCAGAACGCCTCTTCTGCTCTAAAGGATCACAACTCCTCACCAGCAAGGGAACAAAACTGGACGGAGAATGAGTTTGACGAATTGACAGAAGTAGGCTTCAGAAGGTGGGTAATAACACACTCTTCCAAGCTAAAGGAGCATGTTCTAACGCAATGCAAGAAAGCTAAGAACCTTGAAAAAAGGTTAGAGAAATTTCTAAGTAGAATAATAAGTTTAGAGAAGAACATAAATGACCTGATGGAGCTGAAAAACACAGCATGAGAACTTCGTGAAGCATATACAAGTATCAATAGCCAAATTGATCATGCGGAAAAAATGATATCAGAGATTGAATATCAACTTAATGAAATAAAGTGTGAAACTAAGATTAGAGAAAAAAGAATGAAAAGGAACAAGCAAAGCCTCCAAGAAATATGGGACTATGTGAAAAGACCAAACCTACATTTGACTGGTGTACCTGAAAGTGATGGGGGAGAATGGAGCCAAGTTGGAAAACACTCTTCAGGATATTATCCAGGAGAACTGCCCTGGTAGTTTTTTTCTATTTCTGGGAAGAAAGTCAATGGTAGCTTGATGGGATATCACTTAATCTATAAATTACTTTGGGCAGTATGGCCGTTCTCACGATATTGATTCTTCCTATCCATGAGCATGGAATGCTTTTCCATTTGTTTGTTTCCTCTCTTATTTCCTTGAGCAGTGGTTTGTAGTTCTCCTTGAAGAGGTCCTTCACATCTCTTGTAAGTTGTATTCATAGGCATTTTATTCTCTTTGTAGCAATTGTGAATGGGAGTTCACTCATGATTTGGCTCTCTGTTTGTTTATTATTGGTGTATAGGAATGCTTGTGATTTTTGCACATTGATTTGGTATCCTGAGACTTTGCTGAAGTTTCTTATCAGCTTAAGAAGATTTTGAGTTGAGAGCCTGGGGTTTTCTAAATATACAATCATGTCATCTGCAAACAGAGACAATTTGACATTTTGCTTAGAATTGTCTTGGCTATGCGGGCTCTTTTTTGGGTCCATATGAACTTTAAAGTAGTTTTTTCCAGTTCTGTGAAGAAAGTCAGTGGTAGCTTGATGGAGATAGCATTGAATTGGTAAATTACTTTGGGCAGTATGGCCATTTTCACAATATTGATTCTTCATATTCATGAGCATGAAATCTTTTTCCATTTGTTTGTGTCCTCTCTTATTTCCTTGTGCAGTGGTTTGTAGTTGTCCTTTAAGAGGTCCTTCCCTTGTAAGTTGTATTCCTAGGTATTTTATTCTCTTTGAAGCAATTACGAATGGGAGTTCATGCATGATTTGGCTCTCTGTTTGTCTGTTATTGGTGTATAGGAATGCTTGTGATTTTTGCACATTGATTTTGTATCCTGAGACTTTGCTGAATTTGCTTATCAGCTTAAGGAGATTTTGGGCTGAGACGATGGGGTTTTCTAAATATACAATCATGTCATCTGCAAACAGAGGCGATTTGACTTCCTCTCTTCCTATTTGAATACCCTTTATTTCTCTCTCTTTCCTGATTGCCCTGGCCAGAACTTCCAATACTATGTTGAATAGGAGTGGTGAGAGAGGGCATCCTTGTGCCAGTTATCAAAGGGATCTGCTTCCAGTTTTTGCCCTTTCAGTATGATATTGGCTGTGGGTTTGTCATAAATAGCTCTTATTATTTTGAGATACTTTCCATTGATATCTAGTTTATTGAGAGTTTTTAGCATGAAGGGGTGTTGAATTCTGTTGAAGGCCTTTTCTGTATCTATTGAGATAATCTTGTGGTTTTTGTTATTGGTTCTGTTTATGTGATGGATTACATTTATTAATTTACATTTGTTGAACCAGGTTTGCATCCCAGGGATGAAGCCAACTTGATCGTGATGTATAAGCTTTTTGATGTGCTGCTGGATTTGGTTTGCCAGTATTTTATTGAGGATTTTTGCATCGATGTTCATCAGGGATATTGACCTGAAATTTTCTTTTTTTGTTGTGTCTCTGCCAGGTTTGGGTATCAGGATGATGCTGGCCTCATAAAATGAGTTAGGGAGGATTCCCTCTTCTTCTATTGTTTGGAATAGTTTCAGAAGGATGGTACCAGCTCCTCTTTGTACCTCTGGTAGAAAATGGCTGTGAATCTGTCTGGTCCTGGACTTTTTTTGGTTGGTAGGCTGTTAATTACGGCCTCAATTTCAGAACTTGTTATTGGTCTATTCAGGGATTTGACTTCTTCCTTGTTTCGTCTTGGGACGGTATATGTGTCCAGGAATTTATCCGTTTCTTCTAGGTTTTCTACTTTATTTGTGTAGAGGTGTTTATAGTATTCTTTGATGGTAATTTGTATTTCTGTGGGATCAGTGGTGATATCCCCTATATCATCTTTTATTGGGTCTATTTGATTCTTCTTTTTTTCTCCTTTATTAGTCTGGCTAACGGTCTATCTATTTTGTTAATCTTTCCAAAAACCACCTCCTGGATTCATGGATCTTTGAAGGGATTTTCGTGTCTCTATCTTCTTCAGTTCTGCTCTGATCTTAGTTATTTCTTCTCTTCTGCTAGCTTTTGAATTTGTTTCCTGTTGCTTCTCTAGTTCTTTTAATTTTGATGTTAGGGTGTCAATTTTAGGTCTTTCCTGCTTTCTCTTGTGGGCATTTAGTGCTATAAATTTCCCTCTAAACACTGCTTTAAATGTGTCCCAGAGATTCTGGTACACTGTGTCTTCGTTCTCATTGATTTCAAAGAACATCTTTATTTCTGCCTTCATTTTGCTATTTACCCAGTAGTCATTCAGGAGCAGGTTGTTCAGTTTCCATGTAGTTGTGCAGTTTTGAGTGAGTTTCTTAATCCTGAGTTCTAATTTGATTGCACTGTGGTCTGAGAGACTTTTTGTTATGATTTCCGTTCTTTTGCATTTGCTTAGGAGTGTTTTACTTTCAATTATGTGGTCAATTTTAGAATAAGTGTGATGAGGTTCTGAGAAGAATGTATATTCTGTTGATTTGGGGTGAAGAGTTCTGTAGATGTCTATTAGGTCCACTTGGTCCAGAGCTGAGTTCAAATCCTGAATATCCTTGTTAATTTTCTGTCTCGTTGATCTGTCTAATATTGACAGTGGGGTGTTAAAGACTCCCTCTATTATTGTGTGGGAGTCTTAGTCTCTTTGTAGGTCTCTAAAAACTTGCTTTATGAATCATGGGTCACACTCTCAACCTCACATCTAGGGGCTCGCCGGGACTTTTGTCCAGTTATAGGTCTAGAAGCAACGGGGGTGTTGGGGGTGGCTGCTGAGGAGAATCAACATTATCTTGCCTGGCAACTGCCTAAGAGGAGGCCATCACTGTTGCCTCAGGCAGTGCAAGGTTTATCTCCTCAGACAAAGGTGGAAAGGCTGATTGCAGCATGGGTTGGGGAAAGGATGTTGCCACTACTGAGGATGGGAAAGCTGTTTCTTCTGGCAACAAAGTTTCAGCAGAGTGTACAAATTCAGTGTCCCCAGCTTCATCAGGGTCCTCTCACATGTCCCCTTTCCAAGTTGCAGGGTCCCATTCTTTTCCAATCAATGCCTTCACTTTAACAGTAGACACCTGGTGATTCTGTGCATGCACGTTTCGTTGCAGGTCAGCCACTTGCATGATAATAGTTTGTGTCTGTTTTACCGCAATTTCAGCTCTTTCTCTATTCTCACTCAGGGCAATCTTAGCAGATTTGAGGCTCAGTGTCTGCTTCTGAAGTCGGGAGACAGCATCCCTGAGTTCATCATTTTCTTTTATCACTTTGTCTACTGAACTTAGGAGCAACCAACCAGCTTCATTATATTCCTTGGTTCTCCATATATGGTCAAAGTTATTATGTTTAGAGTCACTAAACTCCTTGCCTCTCCCGAGTAGTGCATTAGGAGTGTCAAATGCGTCTATTTTTCATAACACTCTAAATAGTTCATGCCAAGGATTATCTGTGTTCTCCATACTATTAGAAGTAGAGTCCTTAGCATTTTGAGGTCTACATATTAAGCAGCCAACTACAGAAACCCCAAAACCAATGAAGGAACTCAATCCTTAATATTCTGTTCCTCGGCCGGGCGCGGTGGCTCACGCCTGTAATCCCAGCACTTTGGGAGGCCGAGGCGGGCGGATCATGAGGTCAGGAGATCGAGACCATCCTGGCTAACACGGTGAAACCCCGTCTCTACTAAAAATACAAAAAATTAGCCGGGCGTGGTGGCGGGCGCCTGTGGTCCCAGCTACTCGGGAGGCTGAGGCAGGAGAATGGCGTGAACCCGGGAGGCGGAGCTTGCAGTGAGCCGAGATCGCGCCACTGCACTCCAGCCTGGGCGACAGAGCGAGACTCCGTCTCAAAAAAAAAAAAAAAAAAAAAAAAAAAAAAATATTCTGTTCCTCTAGAATCCCTCTTGGTACCAAAATCAGTATTAGTCAGGGTTCTCTAGAGGCACAGAACTAATAGGATATATATACTCATATATATATATACACACACACACACACACACACACACATATATATGAGTTTTTTAAGTACTAATTCTCACAATTCCAAGGTCCCAAGCTGAGCAGCAAGGAAAGCCAGTCCGAGTCCCAAAACTGAAGAACTTGGAGTCCAATGTTCGAGGGCAGGAAGCATCTAGCATGGGAGAAAGATGTAGGCTGGCAGGCCTGGCCAGTCTCCTCTTTTTACATTTTTATGTTTGCTTTATATTCTAGCTGTGCTGGCAGCTGATTAGTTTGTGCCCACCCAGATTAAGGGTGGGTCTGCCTCTCCCAGCCCACTGACTCAAATGTTAATCTCCTTTGGCAACACTCTCACAGACACACCCATGATCAATACTTTGCACCTTAAATCCAATCAAGTTGACACAGTATTAACCATGGCAATACCTTAGGAAATACCATTCCGAATACAGGCCCTGGGAAAGATTTCTTGATGAAGACACCAAAAGCAATTGCAACAAAAACAAAAATTTACAGCTGTGACCTAATTAAATCAAAGAGCTTCTGCACAGCAAAATAATGTATCAACAGAGTAAATAGGCAACTTACAGAATGGGGGGAATTATTGGCAAACTGCATACAACAAAAGCCTAATATCCAGAATCGATAGAAAACTTTAATAAATTAACAAGCAAAAATCAAACAATTCCATTGAAAAGTTGGTGAAATAGTTTGAATATTTTTCTCCATCCAAATCTCATGTTAAATTGTAATCCCCAATATTGGAGTTGGGGTCTGGTGGGAGGTGTTTGGATCATAGGGGTGGATCCCTCATAAATGACTTGTGTCATTCTGTTGTTGATAAGTGAATTCTTGCTCTGAGTTCACATGAGATCTGGTCATTAAAAGTGTTTGTTACCTCTCTGTCACTCTCTCTTTCTCTTGTTCCTGCTCTGGTCACCTTACATGCCTCCTTCCTCCATAATTGTATGTTTCCTGAGACCTCTCTAGAAGCCAAGCAGGTGACAAGACCATTCTTTCTGTAAAATCTGTAGAACCATAAGCCAATTAAGTTAGCTTTCTATATAAATTACCCTGTCTCATGTATTTCCTTACAGCAATAATAGAATGGCCTAATACAGTGGGTAAAGGATATCAACAGACAGTTTTCTAAAGAAGACATACATGCATCCAGCAAGCATATGAAAAAAGCTCAATATCACTAACTGCCAGAGAAATGCAAATTAAAACCACAATGAGATACCATCTTACACCAGTCAGAATGGCTATTATCAAAAAATCAAAACAGGAAATAATAGATTCTGGTGAGGCCATAGGGAAAAGGTAATGCTTATACACTGCTGGTGGGAAGGTAAATTAGTTTAGTCACTGTGGAAAGCACTATGGTGATTTCTCAATTTGACCTAGAAATCTCATTTTTGTGTATACTCCCGAAGGAATATAAGTTGTTCTACCATAAAAACATATGCATCTGTTTATTACAGCACCATTCACCATAATAAACACTTGGAATCAACCTAGATGCTCCTCAATTATAGATTGGATAAAGAAAATGTTATATATATTTATATATCATAGAATATTATGCATCCATAAAAAAGTGAAATAATATGTTTTGCAGCAACATGGATGGAGCTGGAGACCATTATCCTAAGAGAACTAATTCAGGAACAGAAAACCAAATATTTTATGTTCTCACTTATAAGTGTTAGCTAGACATTGTGTACACATAGACCCAATGAAGAGAACAATAGACACTGGAGCCTACTTGAGGGTGGAGGGGGGACGTCGGTGAGGATCGATAAACTACTTATCAGGTGCCATGCATATTAACTGGGTGATGAAATAATCTGTATACCAAACCCCCATGATATGTAATTTACCTATATTAAAAACCTGCATATGTACCTCTTAATGCTTTTCAGGAGTAAAGTTCGAGGGCAGAGTGTTTGACTGCAAGGGGCTAGCATGGATGTAATCATTTTAAACTAATATAATTTTCCTATATTTTGATTACAGTAATGGTTATGTGACTCTATGCATTGGTCAAAACTCATAAATATTCCTCAATAAGTGTAGACTTAATTTTATATACATTCTAAAAAAATATTTTAAAAATGAAGTTGATGACTAGACCCATTAACGGGCATCAAAATAATGAGCACAGTGTTCCCCAATTGTAATGTTATCAGAATAAAAAAGTACTAGGATACAAATGAAAGGTAATTCAGGTATAGTACAAAGTACATTGGACTTTGACTCAAAAAAGTTTTCTTTTAAATTTCTGACTGTTAATAAGTAATATTGAGCAAATCACTTAGCTTTTCTTCACCTCGGCTTTCTAATTAGTGAAATAAGGTAATAATTATTTCACAAAAGTTCTAATGTTTAAATGGTATTATTTATCTGAAATCACTTTATAGGCTATAAAATGCTCTTCTAAATTTATTTCATTAAGCAAATGTTAAAGAAGTGACTTGTCTTAGCAAGCCATTATACTAAATACTATAGGAAATAAATACGAAGATTAGAAATAAATTATGCACACTTGGAGCTTAGTGACAAGAACAGTAGCATATGTAGAAAGTGAATATAATACAAGTTAGAACGTGGTAAGTGCAAATGAAAGAAAATGAATAGCTGCTACAGAAGCTCTTGCATCCAAATTTTTACCCTGGAGTTTTATTTTCAATGATGACACATAAACTTGGAAGTTGGTATTCTCATCAACCCAACAAAAAGAAAGACTAATAAAAATCAATGGCTTTTCCTGAATACATCAGAAAACTGAGGTTCCAGGGGAAAGTATCATTCTGAAATCTGAAGACAGAAGCTCAAGGAAAGAAACAAGGTAGAGATCTACTTACCAGAAGAAGAAGCTGCTGGGAGCATAAACTGGTAAAAAGTGAAATTTATTAATTTTGATAAATCACTAAAAGCTGCGTGTGAACTAGCTGGAGACTAAGAAATTCACGGATACCACAAGGTTAGGGGAACATCTACATTTTTGTGGGCTTTCCACTCCAGGAGTCCCACTAGTTCCTAATGAAAATCTCATGGTAGCTCTGGTAGAGGAAGGGGAAAAACAATCATTGAAAAATGTGCTCAGAGTCTTCTCCGTAACAAACTTTTATATCACAGGAGAAAATACTTTGCCAGACCCTTATCCTAGTTTAGGGAAAAACATTCCTTCTACTCCAGCCTCCTCTAGTGTTTCTGTTTCACCTCATGGAGTGAAATAACATAGCCAACAGGAGTAAAGGTGTAAAGAAAATAGGTTTAAGTGCTGCAGCCAGTGAATGAAATAGGAGATTGTGGAGGAGGGGAGAGACATACTATTGGAGAAAATCTTGTGAAGACCACAACCCTAAGAAAGAGGCCCATTAAAACACTAAGAATTAATGGGAAGGTTATAG
Organism: Homo sapiens; assembly: GCF_000001405.40. Lineage (NCBI taxonomy): Eukaryota > Metazoa > Chordata > Mammalia > Primates > Hominidae > Homo > Homo sapiens. Next base: position 86,904,814 of record NC_000023.11, read on the forward strand.
AACACTTCCTCTTTCCCACATCTTATGACCACATCAATAAGGCTTCAGTATAACAACAATAAATTACAGCTGAATGCATTGCCAAACACAGATTCTCAATGAGGAGGGGCAGTTAGAGAATTTCACAGTCAAGAAAGCCTAAAACTTAACGTATAATAATAATAAAATAATTAAAAAAAAGAAAGCAGACAAGAACAAAAACACTAAAGGAATTTGAAACCTCTGGTACCTATGGCTATGGGAAACATTAAACAAAATTATAATACTAGTATTATCATAAATCATCATAAAGGCTTATTTAGCTCTGTTTCTACTCTCTGAAACATCATGTCTGGCTTTCAACAAATAAATACAAAACATACAAAAAGGCAAGCAAAAATACAGTCTGAGGTGGCAAAGTAATAATTATATCAAGACTCAGATATGACACAAATATTAAAAATTAATATTCAGAACATTTAAAATAACTGTCATTAATAAAGTACTGTAAAAGAAAAGTACAGCATGCAAAAACAGGTAATATAAGCAGGAAAATGGAAACTTTAAGAAAGAATCAAATGGCGATATTAAAAGTAAAAGATATTGTAACAGAAAAACAAATGCCTTTGACATGCTTGTTTGTAGACCTACCCAGCTGAGGAAATTGTCAATGGGCTAGAATATATGTCTATATAAATTTTCTAAAACGAAATGCAGAAAGAAAAAAAAATCAAAAAATCCCAGTGGAACAGAATATCCTAAAACAGTGGGTTCATTTCAAAAGGTGTAAATCACACATAATTAAACTATAATAAGGAGAAGAAAAAAAGAATGAAATAGAAGAATTATTGAAGTAATAATGGCCTAAAACTTTTTGAAAATTAAAACCACACACCAATTCACACAGCAAGGAAGCTCACAGGACACTAAGCAGCACTAATGCAATTAAACAAACAATAAACACACCTGGACACATCATATTTAAATTTCAGAAAAACAAAGCCAACTAAAAATATTTAAAGAAAACTAGAGGAGAAAAGGACCTTACTTACAGAGGAATAAGGATTAGAATGACATTGGACTTCATTTCAGAAACCATGAAAGCAAAAAAAAAAAAAAAAAAAAGCTTTGAGTGAAATATTTAGTTTTGAAAGAAAAAAATTACAAACTGAAAAGAATATATTTAGTATAAATTATTCTTCAAACATGAAGGTAAAGTTAATGATCAAGGAATTAATTTTCCAAAAAAATAACAATATTTAACATAAATTTACCTAAGGAAGCATCAAAATATATGAGGCAAAACCTGATAAAACTTTAAGGAGAAATGGGCACATGTACTCTTAAAGTTAAATGTTTTAACGCCACCTATTCAGTTATTGATAGAGGAAGTAGACACAAAAGCAGTAAGGATATAGTGGACATACGCTGCTTATCAATTTAATCTAATTGACATTTTAAATACTCCATCCAACATCAGAATATGCATTATTTTCAAGCTCAAATGAAACATTCATCAAGAGAGAACACAATTTGTACCAGAAAATATGCCTTAAAAACTTTAAATAATAGATATCTATTGAAGTTTTTTCTTAGTCCATTTTTGTGTGGCTATAAGAGAATACCATAGGCTAGGTAATTTATGAAGAAAAGAAAATTATTTCTCACAGTTGTGAAGTTTGAAAAGTCCAAGAGCATTACACTGGTATCCAGTGAGAACATTCATGCCGCATCATCCCATTGTAGAAGGCTGAAGGGAAAGAGAGCGTGGGAATGAGTGAACAAGAGAGGGCCAAACTAGATTCTATAACAACCCATTTTCATGATAAAGAACTCACTCCAGTGGTAAGGACATTACTGCATTCATGAGGATGAAGCCCTCATGGCAAAATCATCTCTTATCAGTCCCACTTCTAAATAATGTCACAATGGCAATAAAATTTCAACATGAGTTTTGAAGGGGAAATGCAAACCATAGCATTCTTCTCCTGACTCCCCAAAACTAATGTCTTCCCACATACAAAATACATTCATTCCATCTCAGTAGTCCACAAAATCTTAACTGGCTCCACCATCAACTTAAAAGTCAAAAGTCCAGACAGACACTGATGTAAATCAGATATGGATGATACTTGAGGCCTAATTAATCCTGAGGCACATTCCTCTCCATCTGTGAGCCTGTGAAATTAGCAAGTTACATGCTTATAACAAATGCTGGCAAGGATGTGGAGAAAAGGGAAACCTCATACAACCTTGGTGGGAATATAAATTAGTACAACTACAGTGGAGTACAGTTTGGAGGTTCATCAAAAAAATAAAAATAGAGCTACCATATGATCCAGCAATCCCATTTCTGGGTATATACCCAAAAGAAAGGAAATCAGTATATTGAAGAGACATCTGCACTGCCATGTTTTTTGCAGCAATGTTTGCAATAGCCAAACTTTGGAAGCAACATACGTGTCCATCAACAGATGAATGGATAAAGAAAATGTGGTACATACATACAATGGAGTACTATCCAGCCATTAAATTAAGAATGAGATTCAGGCATTTGCAACAACATGGATAGAACTGGAGGTCATTATGCTATGTGAAATAAGCCAGGTGCAGAAAGACAAACATCACATGTTCTCAGTTATTTGTGGGATCTAAAAATCAAAACAATTGAACTTAAGGAGACAGAGAATAGAAAGATGGTTACCAGAGGCTAGGAAGGTGAGTCGAGGGGCAAGGGGGAAGTGGGGATGGTCAATGTATACAAAAAATTAATTAGAAATAATGAATAAGACCTATTATTTTATAGCACAACAGGATTACTGTAGTCAACAATAATTTAATTGTACAATTTTAAATAACTAAAAGAGCATAATTGGATTGTTTGTTACACAAAGAAGTGCTTGAGGGAATGAGTATGCAATTCTCCATGATGTGATTATTACACATTGTATGCTTGTATCAAAACTTCTGAGGTACCCTTTAAATATATACACCCACTACATACCCAAAACATTTTTTAAATTAAAAAATAAGTTATATGCTTTCAAAATACAATGTCAGGAAAGACATAAAATAGACATTCTCATTTCCAAAAGGAGAAAAAGGCAAGAATAAAGAATAGGCTTCAAGCAAGTCTGAAAACTAACAAGAAAAACAACATTAAGTCTTCAAGCTGGAGAATTCTCTCCTTTGACTCCATGTTGTACATCTTGGGTACAGTGAAGCAGGGATTGGGCTCCTAAGGCCTTAGGCACACCCCACCCTATGACTTTACTGGGCTCAGTCCACCCAGAAGCTCACACAGGTTGGAGTTTTGTTTCTGCAGCTTTTCCAGCCTGGAGTTGCATGCTAGTGGCCCTGCAGTTCTATGGTCTTGGAGGTTTCCTTACTCCCACTGCTCCACTAGGTATTGCTCCAGTGGGGGCTCTCTGCAGTGGCTACCACTGTGAGAAATCTCTCCCATGGACCCCAAGGCTGTTCACAACATTCTTTGAAATCTAGGTTGAAGAAGCCTTGCTCACACAGCTCTTGCATTCTCCACACATGTAGAATTAACACTGTATGGACACCACCAAAGTTTATGGCTTGTATCCTTCATGTGGTAGGTTGAGACACACCTGGACCTGCTTGAGCCAAGCCTGGAGTGGCTGAGAAGTGTTGCGCTGTAATGCAGAGAGCACAGACCTGAGGCACCTGTGGGAAGGAATCCCATGGAGGGCACTTGAGGACCCTCTCCCCAAACCACTCTGCCCTTCTAGAGCTTTTGATCTATGAACAAAGGGGCAGTCTCAAAGACCTCTGAAATGCCTTTGTGGTCCTTCTCCAATTGTCTTGATTATTCCTTATATCTGTATTTTTCTTTTTAGGAAATGGTCACTTGGCTCATCTTTGGTTTGCTTCCTCAAACTCATTTTTTCATTCTTCACAGGGTCAGGCTGAAAGTTTTCAAACTGTTTTCATTCTGTTTCTCTTTTAATTATAAATTTAAACTCTAAGTTATTTATTTCTTTTACATCTTACTGTGTGAGATTAAAAGTAGCTATGCAGCTCCTTCAATATATTGTTGAGAGATTTCTTCTGCCAGATATCCTAGTTCATCACTCTTAAATTTTTATTCTATAAAGCTCTAGGGCATAAACACAATTCAGCCAAATTATTTGCCACTCTATAACAAGATTGTCCATTACTCACATTTCCAGTACTTCTCTTCTCCATCTGAGACCTCATCAGAGTGGCCTTTAATGTGCTCATTTCAATCAACATTCTGATCATGACCACTTAAGTAATCTCTAAAAAGTTTCAAACTTTCTCTACAACTCTCCTTTTCTAAGCCCTCACCAGAATTACCTTGAATACTCCATTTATGGCAATCTAGTCTTTTTTTTAGCCTGTTTCTCCTAATTCTTTTATCCTCTATCCATTATCAAGTTCCAAAACTACTTCAATATTTTCAGGTATTTGTTATAGCAATAGCTCCACTTCTCTATATGAATTCTCCATCTTAGTCTATTTTTATTGTTGTTGTTGCTATAGCAGAATAATACAGACTGGGTAATTTATTTTAAAAAGTAATTGATTTTTCACAATTCTGGAGGCTGGGAAGTTCAATATCAAGGTGCTGGCCTTTTTGCTCTTTCATCCCATGACAGAAAGCAGAAGTGCAAGAAAGCATGAGAGTGAGTGATAAAGAGAGGGTTAAACTTTCTTTTCTAACAATTCACTCTCATAATATTGAACCCACACCCATGATAACAATATTAATCCATATAATCCTATAACTCAAGCATTTACTCTTTTAATGCTCTCCCATGTTTCCTTCATTTATTTTCATTTCTTTCTGCTTCTTCCTTGGATTGTATATTTTCAAATAACCTGTCTTTCCTCAAATTTCACCAATTCTTTCTTATGCCTGCTCAATTCTGCAATTGATGCTCTCCATTGCATATTTAATTGTATGTATTATATTTTAGCTCCATAATTCCTGTTTGATTTTTTAAATAATTTCAACCTCCCCATTACATTTATAATTTTGATTTTCTGTTGTTTTCCTGATATTGTTGAATTGTTTCTGTGTATTTTCTTGAAGTTTTCTGAACATCAGAAAATAATTAAAGAAATCAAAAGAAATTAAAGAAATTCTTTTCTTTTTTTTTCAGGTGGTTCATAAATATATATTTCTTTAGGATCACTTACTGGTGCTTTATTTTGTTCCATTGGTGGTGTCATTGTTCCCTGATTATTATTGAACCTTGTGGCCATGCATTGGTCTCTGTCCATTTGAAGTAGAAACTTAGTCCAGTATTTTTAGACTGGCTTTGTCTGGCAAAGCTCTTCACTAGTCAGCAAGTCCACAGATTCTGGGCTGGCCATCTGGCATGGTCTAGAGGCAGGTCTGCTGCTCGAGTTTTGGTACACGGGTGATGGCCTGTAGGCTTGGTCCCTAGGGTCCAGCTTGGAGGCTGGGTCTGTGAGGACTGGCCTATATTGTGGGGCTATTGGGCCAGCCTGGTTCCACAGGGGCAATCCTGGAGCTAGGTCTGTGGAATCTCATCCAGCACTGGAGCAGGCTTGAAGCCAGGGGCTGTGGGATCCAGTCTGGCAATAAGACCCTTTCCAAGGGTACTGGCCTAGAGTTTGGGACTCTGAGGTTCTTTCCAGAATTGAGATTTATTGAGGCAGGCCTCATTCTGGAATACAAAGCAAGTTTGATGCTCACCTTCCTCTCTTTTCCCAAATCAGAGGGTATCTATAACACTATGGTTCTTGCAGACTCATAAAGGTACCACCTTGATCATCCTGGACAACTTCCAGGAAAAGTATCTGGATTACCAGGCAGAGACTCTTGTTCTCTTCTCCTACTTACTCAAAAAACAAAACAAAACAAAACAAAAACACACAGCGTCTCTCTCTCTGTCTCTCTCTCTCTCTTTTCTGACCAATGAAAGCTTGGGTTGGAGTGACACAAGCACCCTGGGGCCACCACTATGACCACATTGAGTGAGGTCTGAAGCCAGCATGGCATTGTGCCTCACTGAAGGCCTGCTGTAACCACTTCCTGGCTACTGCTTAAATTCGCTTTATGCCCTGGGACTCAACAGTCAGCTTGTGGCAAAGTCAGCCAGGCCTGTGTCTTTCCCTTCAGGGTGGTGATATGCCCCAGGCCCTGGGTGGGTCCAGAGATGATATCTGTAATTCAGGGACTACAGTCAAAACCCTTAGAAATCTACTTGGTATTATATTGTACTATGACTGAGCTATCAGTAAAACTGCAATATGCAGTCCTTTCCACACTTCCCTTTTCTTCTCAAAGGCAGCCACCATTACCCCATGCCATGAGAACCACTGCCACAATACTTGCATTGTTCTCTTAAGTTTCAAGGACTCAAATCAGCTTGTGGTGAATGCCGCATGGTCTGGGACTCACCTTTCAGGGCAGTGGATTCCCCTCTACTTCGGGACAGGTCCAGAAATGACATCTAAGAGTCAAGTCCAAGAATCAGGGACCCCAGGAGCCCATTTGGTGCTCTACCCCACTGTGGCCTTAGTTGTACCTAAGTTGCAAGACAAAGTCCCCTTTACTTTTCCCTCTGCTTTCTTCAAGCAGAAGTTTTACCCCAGAGCCACCACAGCTGGTAATGAGCTGAATCTCACCTGGAGCCACCAAGACTCACAGGCTCACCCAAGCTCCTCAATATATTACCTGGGTATCCCTACTGGTTATTCAGGGCACAAGGGCTCTTTAATTGGCAGGTGATAATCGCTGCCAGTACTGGGTCCTTTCCTTCAAGGCAGTAGGTTTCTTTCTGGCTTAGGGTGTATCTAGAAATATCACCTGGGAGCTAGGGCCTGGAACAGGGGCCTCATGACTCTGACAGGTGCCCTATCCTTCTGGGGCTGAGCTGGTATCCAAGATGCAAGACCAAGTCCTCTCCACTCTCCCCTTTCCTCTCCTCATGCAAAATGAAGGGATCTCTTTTGGAGCTGTGAGATGTGCAGCCTGGGGTGAGGGGAGAGTGATGCCAGCACCCCCTTGGCTGTCCCAGCTAGTATCACAGTATGTCACCTGCCAACCTAGTTTACTGTCTCTGGGCCCAGTTCAGCACTAAGACTTATCTAAAATTTGCAGTCTTTATGGCCTAGATTGTCCTTCAAGCTTACTTGGAGACAGAGCGTGTTATAGTCCTCAATTGTGAGGCTTGAGGGAACTCAAGTTCAGACCCCTGGAACTGACAATTTCCCCCTGGATAACGCTGGTTTAAACGCTTCCTGCATGGGTAGGCATCAGCTGAGTTTGGTCCAGTTTTCCTTTCTGCTCTAACAAAACAACACTGTGTTTAATATCTCACAATTCCTGTGTTTTCTCTTCCTAAGCCCCCAGAGATGCTCTGTGCACCACTGCTGGGGGCAAAGGAGGTGTGGTATAGGCAATTTAGGACCGTTTTTCCATCTTTTCAGTGCCTTTTTCAGTAATATGAAGTTAAAACCAGGTACTATGAGTGCTCACCTGGTTTTTGGTTTTATGAAGGTGTTTTTTTCCTGTGTATATAGTTGTCAAATTGATTTCCTTGCCAGGGGATGATTGATAGAGCCTTCTATTCTGCCATCTTGCTCCCCACGTTATTTTATCATCTAGATTCACCAAAATGTAAAGAACTTGAGCTTTACAATTATTGGTGGTGTGTGATAATACTTTTCTGTGTTAATGACAAGAAATAATATTAATATTCTCACAATAGCTTTGTTTATTATTTAAATATTTGAAAATTAGAATTCTTAAACTTGAGAAAGGCTGAAAAATATCAGAGCCAAAAGTTATTTGGCTCACATATGCTAATAATGAAATTCTGATCATTCAAAATGTGAAGCATTTTAATTAGAAAATAATTTTATAGAGCTTGATTAGTGAGATGGAGGTTGGAACTGGCAGCATCTAACACCAAGTAACTGAGATGCTTTTTTCTGCTTGGTGATAATATAGATATTAGAGTTTCTAACTCGTTATTACCTCTCTATTTTGTCAATAGCAACATATTTATAATGGTCTGAAGTGAACAGATTTATCAATTTTGTACGTTTAAATATTCTTAGGGTGAGTTTCTAAAATGAGTTCTATGCACATAGGAATTTTCCATTGTGAACATATAGTTTCAGAAATAAGATTTTTCCAACTAATGGCCAATCAGAAAATGTTTGAATCTGCCTATGACCTGTAAGCCCTCACTTTGAATTGTTTAATCTTTTGAGTCTGAACCAATGTAAACTTCACATGCATTAATTTTTGTGTATGATGAAAGGAAAAGGTCCAATTTTATTACTGTACACATGGATATTGTTTTCCCAACACCATTTATTGAAGATAATATCATTTTCCAATTGTGTATCTTAGTGACAATGGGAAATGAATTATGTCTTCTTACAACGTATAAAACCAATGAAAGCTTGGTGTGGCGTGACACAAGCTCTCCTATGGCCACCATCACTATGACTGCATTGAGTCAGACTGCAAATGTATGTCTTATGTCTCCCTAAAACGTATAAAGCCAAGCTATAACTCAACCACTTTGGCCCCGTGTTCTCAGGACCCCTTGAGACTGTGCCTCAGGCCATGATCACTCATACTTGGTTCAGAATAGACCTCTTTAAATATTAAAAAAGAAATCGAATTTTTGTTTCTTCTGTGTTAATTGAAAACCTCACTCTTCCCTACTTTCCCCAGTGCTAAGTGGAGTGTTACACACAGTAGAACTTTAATTCTAAGTCAACTATTTAACTGTACTGTTTTCTCTGCACAGACAAAACAAGTACATTAGAGAAAAGTTTAGAAGACATAAAGACTAGTGAAAACCAAAAGGTAACATCACATTTTTGTAAAGTGTGCTGCACCAAGATAATAAATAGCTCTAGTTTTTATTAAATTCTTCTCAGTGTGTGTGTGTGTGTGTGTGTGTGTGTGTGTGTGTGTGTGTGTGAAATCTTATTTATTTAAGAAGGCTGCTTCTTGGGGGAGAGAAAATCTGAAATCTGTTGGGCACTATAGGGGGCGCTGTTGTGTACTACCCAGATTCCCATTACCCTGACCCTTGAATGTGCCACCTCTTTCAGAAATTAAAAACTCATTCTCCTAGTTGCTGGAAGTGGTGGCCGGCAGTTATCATTTGTGTCCTTCACTTTGTTTGCCAATCACAGAAGGGGACAGCATTGCTGAAGATTACACCCCTGCCTGGGGCAACTCATATCCAATGAGTATTCAATGTCACCATCTTTGCCCCAATTTAGAACACTCTAACGCAAGAGCTCTCTACAGGATCTGTGAAACTTTTGCTGCAACTACATGGCACTCCATCTCCTCTCTCTGTCCAGTCCTGCTGCCTTTATTTCCTCATGGCAGTGATCCTGATAGGACACTTAGTAAATGCCCTACATGCAAATTTCCATCTAACTGTTGACTTTCAGGTTAACCAATGTGTGGCAGACACACTTTAACAAGTGAAAAACAAATATTTGAAGCAATAATATGTCTTGGACTGGGGTTTACTAAATAACAAAAACAACAACAAAACCAACAGTAATAATAGCTACTTTAAATGAGCCCTTTCTTCATGTCAGGTATAGTTCATTATTTTATAAAATCCTCAAAAAAGTTATTAAATAAATATTAATATTGATAGTGAGGGGGGACAGGGAAATTCTAAACAGAAAAGGGTGGTCCCTGGCAAAACCTGAAATTCATGGCTAGCATTTGCAAGGGCCAAGATACAAGAAAAAGTATACAGCATATGTAAAGAATTAAACATAGTTTAGTATCAGTAGATGTAATGTTAAAAATTGAGAGGGGTATGATATGAGGCAGAAGGAACAAATAAATACCAAGTCATATATACCCATGTAATGGAAAATCATATAAGAATCATGGACTTATATTATCAAATTTACATTTCAGGAAGATTTGTAGAGCTGCAATGTGGAACACAAACCAGAAGGAGGCAATACTAGAGGTAAGTATTCCAGTTAGACTGCAATAATCTCAGTGAGAGATGATGGCCTAGACTAGGGTAGACTAGCAAAGTTGGAAAGATATTAATGGATTCAGAATACTTAGGAGGTAGAACTGGTAATACTTGGTTATTGCTTCCCTATAGAGTTAGAGAGAAAACGAGGAATAATGCAGGACTCCCAGATTTGAGACTTAATCAAATGCATAGATGTTGGTTCTTTACCCATTTACTGAGAATGGGCAAAAAGAGGATAAAAATTAACCATAGGGACATAGAGAAGAGCCTGCTGATGCTCTGTCCTATTTGTCCTCAGCCTGAGTTCACTTTTCACTGTTGCAGATAGGCCCTATGCACACAGACAGCTTCTTCAAGTGCCTATGTATTCTGACTTCACTAAACTTTCATGCTCAGTCCACTCTCAGGGAGGATTGGAAGTGCTAGAGAATTAACACTACCAAGGGCTGTTGTAAAACAACTACACTACAAGGGGTATGCAGATGACTGAGCTAAGAGAGGAAACTACTGGATGATGACAATAATGAAGATGGGTGACGATCAGCTGGAGTCGATCAAATATGATGAAAAAGAGGCTAAGGAAGGAGAGGATGACAGAGAAAGTGCCAATACTGAAGATGACTCTCAAGCACATAGTATGATTTAGAAATCTAATCCCATTATTTCTTTACCTAGGTGCTTGTCTAAGATCAAACTTTTCATCAGACCTTTTCTCCTAGTGTCTTCAGCACATGCTCACTGTTCTTCCTACCCTCATCCTTTCCATGTTCATTAGTTCATATTTCCTTGTGCCTAGTCCCATTCTCACTTCCTTTGATTCTCCTAATAATTATGTTGTCTTAACATGCAATTTTTGCTTTCATTTTGGGTACCTCTTTATAACTTAATAAAAAGGATGTACAGTTTAATTTTTAATCAACAGTCTCCAACATGATCTCTTGTTATGCATTCAGTACAGTTCTTTCCATTCATATGTGAGTTCAGTAGTTGCTTTCTTAACTGCAAAGGCAATCTTATTTGGTTGAGTAATCCCAGAAGGCATCATTGAATTAGAGGTATTTGTGTTATACCCTATATAAGAGTGCTGTGTGGGGTTGTTCAACACAAATGTAACAATGTGTTTTTGTAAATAAGTTTTGGCATGTCAAACGTATCCTCTAGAGAGATGATTAGTGTAATAGTCTTAAGATTTGCTTTTTAAAGTTGATACTGTGGGTTATTTTTGTAAACAGCCTGATGTTTGAGACTTTTTTTCTCAAAATAAACAAGTCCTTATTAAGACAGGAATTTGGAGGAAGAAAAAGAAAACAAGACAGGAATGAAGGAAGAAATGAGAGAAGAAAAGAAGGAAGAAAGGAAGCAACGAAGGAAAAGTTAATCCAGCAATGGGATGGCAGAGGTTTCAGTAAAGATATTATAATGTGGCATTTGATGTCCTATTGGGATTTATTTCAACAAGTTTTGCATGGTCAAATTCCATTACTAAGCTTGCCTTCTACCGGGGATATGTGTGTCTCTCTCATCTTCCATGGTGTCCTCACTGTAAGAAAACCTCACCTCACCTGCTTAATCATAGCACATTTCTAATTGATTTCGTCTTGCTCATTATTAGCATGAAACTGGTTTAGGTAAAATTAGAACTTTAAATACATTGTTTATTGTATTTTATTGTTAATTACAAATAGAGAGAAAAAAGATTAAAAAGGCATAACTATATTCTTTAGGCAAATAATGAATTAGTATTTAAAGCTTTGTATTATCTCATCTTTCCAACTAGACAGTGAATTATAAATAAGAATTGGTGTATTCTACTTATTTTAATAACCTACCATATATTGTTCACAGTAGTATCAGTGAGTAATATAAATTTCAATAATATTGTAAAGTCTATACTCATTCTGAATTTTTTACAAGTTACTGGCCAGTGGTTCTTGCTATATTTTCTTCTAATTTGGTCTTGAGATCTTTTTCAGGACAGTGGCTATAAACTCTATCCTTGTCTTGACTAGATGCTAGGGGATTTAGTCATGGATAGTTACAGCATTCCTGTCCCTGGATACTTCTTCATCCTGGCTCGTGGCCTAATGCCTAAAGTGTCTGGCCAATTACCAGGTATGTCCCTTTCACCGGAAACTTGCTTATACTGGAAGATGGACTTGCGTCTCTTTTCTAACTTGTGTTTGATTTATTCCTGTCAAGATAGCCACTCTCTAGGAGAGCCTTGACTGGAAAATAAGATAGATTTGGGTATGCTGGGAAAGTGAAACATAGAGGACGCAACTTAACAAAACGCATGAAGTAACAGAAGCATTGTATTACTTACAAAACCTAGAGAGAAGAGGATAGCATGCCTCACAAAGCCAATAGAAATGGGAGAGCTGTTCAGGACATGTATGTTCAACCAGTGAGTGAGGAAAATGAAAGAAATAGCAAGGAACATATGGGTCAAAGCCTTTGTTGGTTCAGGCTGTTACCCAGGCAGGGTTCCCATGAAGAGTTCTAATTGGTGGATTTAGAGAGAGCTGACACAAGTTCCATGCATTCACACTGTGACTGACAAGTGGTCATTGTGGCATACCTACACAGTTCATGTAGGGTTGGAGCAACAGTGGGGTGAGTCAATGAGGTTGTACCTGTTTCAGAGGGAAATGGTTACCGGGAGGCACTTGTATAAGGCAGATATCTGCATCAACCACATTAAAAACCTGGGAAGAAGCAGAGAACTAGAAACCATGCTAAGCGTGACTAAGCCTACTTATGATATGAGAAAGTTAAAGGACGTGTTTGCTTCCCTTTTCACCATGATTCTAAGTTTCCAGAGGCCTCCCCAGCCATGCAGAACTGCGAGTCAATCAAACCTCTTTCCCTGGTAAATTACCCAGTATCGGCTATTTCTTCATAAAAGCATGAGAATGGCCTAATATACATGCTCAGTAGGCAGTGATTTGCATGCATGGGGGAAAGAATGAGGACACGGTGGTATAGGGCCTCTATAGGTGCACGAGAATTTGGGGAAATAGAAAAACCCCATTCTTCTCAAGTGAGTCTGATGTGTTTCTCTGTACCCTAACCTCTCTATACCAATTTTGGAATCACTGCTATGCCCATTTGCTTGTTTTTCCAAATATAACCATAAGGTAACAAGCAATCAAATTATTTTAAATTTTCATTATATTAAGCTGAAAATTTTAAATAAATCAGAGTAGGTGATATCATAATTTAAATAAATACTCAATCCAAAGAAGAAAGGAATCAATAAGAGGAAAGAAAGAGCAGTATATCTGAGCTTGGGTGTGGGATTAGGCCTTGTGGCTTTGGATGTGTGGCAAGCAACAGTACTCAAGATTAGGGGTAAGCAGTTTCGATTCAGGTTAGACTGCTAGGCAACTGTAGCAGTTGCAGCAGTTTGATGCAAAGTGAGGGAAATAAGAATCAGAGGTGAGTCAAGGGAAGGAGTTAACAGAAATAAAGAGAGAAACATGTTCCCAATATATAGTTGGACTCCTCCCAAGCATGAGAGTTGTGAGGAGATAGAAAAAGCCCAAATACGAAAGAGAACAAAAGTTTAAACAGCCAATTAGGCCTATTTACCTCTTCATGAGCAGAGAAGAAAGAGAAAGCTAATTCCTGATAATATTGTACCCCCAAATGCACTGAGCTGTCACAGGAGAATGAATATCCTGCCTGAATGGGGTTCATTGGTTAACAGAAGAGATTTGGAGTGCCTGCAGGAGTTGGATTATCATGCTGTATTGTTAGTTGAAGATGGGCTGAGAACAGACAGGACTTAATACCACAGGGTGGACAAATTTCCCAGAGCTAAGCAATGATAAACTCTCCACTTATACCTAGTTTTCATATACAATTTTCAATAACATCATAGTAGTATTATTTACAGTATTTTTCCCTTTTATTCAATTAGTTAACTGACTAAAGATTCACATCCTTTGCCATATAACATTTCCGTATTTATGCCAACTCTGTGGAACTTGTGAGACTTACACATTTTTCCATTAGTATAAGCGCTTTAAGTTTTTCCACTTCCCACCCATTTTTATCTAAAAAGCTCAAAACATAAGAAAATATTCAAATGATTTCCCATTGTCAACAAAGATAGTAAGGCTTCCCAAACTGGACACAATATTTGACTGACAACTGATATAAAAAAGTCAGAATCTTATATGTGAAAGGCAGCTTAAAGAGAACATTTATTACACATGAACATGTGGAATATTTGAATGGTGGATTCATGGAAGTTGAAGACTGCTTATACAAAAATACATATGTTATGTGCAGAGTATGCCTAGAGCAGCATTGCCCAAATTCCTTTTTTTCAGAGCACTAGTATTTTGTTGTGTTTGTGTCTTTGATTATGATGAAATATCAATAGTATCTCCGAGAGAAAAATATTTTCATGGTCAAATAAATGTTACTTGCTACACAAGTTATCTCCCTTTTTGAGAATCACAGTTTACTATAATAAATTATAATAATAGGACTTCTTAGACATCTTGCAGTAAAGAAACCTGTTTATCTTTGAGCAGTCACTGCCCCAAATTCCTCTCCATAGAACACTACTTTTTTTTTTTTTTTGAGACGGAGTCTAGCTATGTCGCCCAGGCCGGACTGCAGTGGCGAGATCCCTGCTCACTGCAAGCTCCGCCTCCCGGGTTCACGCCATTCTCCTGCCTCAGCCTCCAGAGTAGCCGGGACTACAGGCACCCGCCACCACACCCTGCTAATTTTTTGTATTTTTAGTAGAGACGGGGTTTCACCATGTTAGCCAAGATGGTGTCTCAATCTCCTGACCTCGCAATCCACCCGCCTCAGCCTCCCAAAGTGCTGGAATTAACAGGCATGAGCCACGGCGCCCGGCCTTTTCCATAGAACACTTTTTAACAGAAAATGTATTGTGGCTAACATTTATGGGGCCATACTCAACAAACGTGCTCCCCTCCTCTTTATTCTATGCTAATAAAGGCTACCTTCCATTAACAAGGTAGAAAATGCTAATTACTACCTTTCCAGCTTTTTTTTTTTTTCCCTAAGGCATCGGCCAATGGGCGTGGCCTGATTTTGACAAACAGGATTTGAAGATAAGTATGCGGTTGGCTTCAGGAAAAGAAATTTTCTTTCTAACAAATACTGACACATAATAGAAAATACACCCCCCTTCCACTGATTATGCTTTTTGTCTACTGTGACATTTGGACTTTCTGCAGTTATTTTGTGCTTATGAAGAAAAACATAATTAATGTGTGAGAGACGGCAAACCAGAATTGGAAATAACTTGAGTCCTTCATGTCATTGACTTCTTAATTAGCCATTTTAGGAGTTGCTTACCTCACGACTTCTTGTTATATATGATAAATTGTTTTTTGTTTAATTCATAATTATTTGTGTTAGTTGATGCTTACAACCTAAATCATTCTAACTGATGCACATACTAAAATCCAAAACATATTTTGGAAAATACTGGATACAGGGAGCCATAAGGCAGCCAAGGCTCCATAATATTATCTGCATTACAGCTATGCATTGTTTACTAAGGGAAATATTTATTAAGATATAACACGTTATGTTTTACACTATACCCAAGAAAAAAAAATCTCTAAGTGGTTTGGAAATCAAAATGTAAAAATATAGAACCAAACAAGAACCTGGAAAATATGGGTGAATTATTCTACAAACTAGATGTAGTTTAAAATTTCTCCCATTAACTGGGTATAGACAAAAACTTTCAGACTATGACTCCAAATGGTTGATTTGTGGGAGGAGGTCAGGGAAATGAGGAGTGATTTACAGAAAACAATTATAGTGGAATGTTGCAGGGTGTTATATTTGCTGGTGGAAATGTTGTTATAAGAAAATTGATTTTGAGACCTGTATTTGTTAGATGAAGAAATAAAAAGAATAATGGAAAAATGGAATAGTGAAAAGAAGGAAAAAGAAGAGAGATTAAATAATAATAATAATAATAAAGAAGGGCCGGGCCTGGTAACTCACATCTGTAATCGCAGCACTATGAGAGGTCGTGGCGGGAGGATCACTTAAGATCAGGAATTCGAGACCAGCCTGGCCAACATGGTGAAACCCTATTTCTACTAAAAATACAAAAATTAGCTGGGCATGGTGGTGCATGCCTGTAATCCCAGCTACATGGGAGACTGAGGCAGGAGAATCTCCTGAACCTGGGAGGCGGAGGTTGCAGTGAGCTGAGATGGCACCACCGCACTCCAGCCCGGGTGACACAGCGAGACTCCATCTCAAAAAATAAATTTAAAAATAAAAAAATGTATAAATAAGAAAAGGGGGAGTGATGATAAAATGAAATTCAATTTAATATATTAAGAAACTACTATCAGAAAACACTAAGTTACCTGTATAGATAATTAAAGATGTAAAAGTAACTGTCCCTGCCTTATAAAGTGCTTTTGTTCTACTGAAAGTGACCAATATGAAACATATTTTGAAAAGTAGACTTTAAGTATTATAATTGTGGTGCAAATAATTCAGTGAGAATGGGAAAGGGAGAAAGTAGGCTATCTGAGAGGATTTGTAGAAGGTTTAGGGGTTTAGACGGGCCTTATATGCCTCAACAACAGCTATGGGTTCAGGGAAAAAAAAATAGGATATCCTTAAAGAAGGATTTTTCTTTTTAAATCAGAGGTACTTAAACAGAAAGGAGGCAACTTTTTAAAAGAATGGCAAGATGACCAATATGGCAGAAATAGCGTGTCAATGAAAGGGGATGCAGGGTTGGAGTTTGGGAAAGTAAAACTGGAAATACACATACAGGCCTATCCATGGACATTATGTTACATGAAGTAAGCAGGAACATAAACACTGCATGTTCTCACTCATACATGGAAGCTAAAAAGTGTTCATCTCATAGAAGTTAAAAGTAGAAACGAGGATAGTAGAAAAGGGTAGGGGATGGGAGGAATAGGGAGAAATTTGTTAAAGGATGTAAAATTACAGCTAGTAGGATGAATAAGTTCTAGTGTTCTATAGGACTGTAGCATGACTATAGTTAACAATAATATATTATGTAGTTTAAGTAGCTAGAAGGAATATATTGAATGCTCCCAACACAAATAAATGATAAATATTTGAGATGAAGGATATGCTAACTACCCTGATCTGCTCACTATACATTACATGTATCAAAACATCACTATGCACCCCATGAATATATACAGATACTATTTGTTAACTGAAATATAAAATAAAACAAATGATAACTATAATACTATTAGAAGAAACCTTGGAATAATTTATCTAAAACCTCGGAATGGAGAAAACCTTCCAAGTTATGACTTGAAATCCAAGAGTTATGAAAGATTGATAATTAAACTACAGACAATCACCGACTTAAGATGTTTCACTTAATTTTTGAGTTTATTTTGGTGCAAAACTGATGCGTGTTCAGTAGAAACTGTGCTTCTATTGCAATGCTGGGTAGTGCTAGTGAGCAGCAGCTCTCAGCCACGCATTTTTTACTTACTCTACTTTAAATTTACAATGGGTTTATTATGACATAATTCCATTTTAAGTTTTTTAAAAATGTAGTCATGTGAGATTAATAGAAGCCCAAACCCTAGCATCATGGAATATACTCATGTAACAAATCTGCACATATACCCCTTGAATTTAAAATTTAAAATTTAAAAATAAATAAATATGTAGTAATGACTAAAAAACCCATAACCAGACTTCAAATACAGGTACCCAGCAGGAAAAATATTTGCAGTTCCTAGAATAAAGAACTAATTTCTCTAATATATAAATAGCTCCAAAATCAAAAATAAAAAAGAACAATCACCTAGTAGAAAATAGGCAAAGAATAAGAAAAAACAATTCCTGAAAAAATAAATACAGATAACTCTCAAATTTAAGAATAGTTGTTCAGGGCCGGGTGTAGTGGCTCACGCCTGTAATCCCAGCACTTCGGGAGGCCAAGGAGGGTGGATCACAAGTTCAGAAGATCAAGACCATCCTGGGTAACATGGTGAAACCCTGTCTTTACTAAAAATACAAAACATTAGCTGGGCATGGTGGCGGGTGCCTGTAGTCCCAGCTACTCGGGAGGCTAAGGCAGGAGAATGGCGTGAACCCAGGAGGCAGAGCTTGCAGTGAGCCGAGATCGCACCACTGCACTCCAGCTTGGGCAACAGAGCGAGACTCTATCTCAAAAAAAAAAAAAAAAAAAAAGAATAGTTGTTCAACCAAAATTATGGTAAGAGAAATAGAAATAAAACAATACTGAAGTAGCATTTTTTTCCTTATAAGACATTAAAAGATTCTAAAAGTTTGATGACACACTCTGTTGCTTAGACTGTGGGGAAACTGACACTTGAATATTGCTGGTTGGAATGTAAACCAGTATAACACTTGGCAATAATTATCAAAAGTACCAATTCATATATCCTTTGATAGCACTTTTCTACTTCAGGAATATTTTTGCACATTTCAGTAGCACACACACAAAATGAAATGTATGCAAAATTATTCATTGCAGCTTTGTTTGTAAGAGCAACATATCAGAAATAATATACACTTCCACCAAAGAGAACTCTCTATGTTACAGCGTGTGTGTACAATGGAATATTATTTATCTGTAATAAAAGAGTGAACATGCTCTAAATGTACTGTTTAGAAAATAATACTAAAAGATATTAAGAGAAAAAACAACGTACAAATCAATGTATGGATAAATTGTTTTGTGTAAAAAATGAGAATATATTACAAATTTTTTGTATGCACAATTACCTTATGGCAGAATACAAAATAAATTAATAAAAATCATCATTTTTGTGTAATGGGAGATAGAGTGAAACTAAGTAAATGTGAAATGAAGGTGTCAAGGAGAGTTGTATTGTATATCTTGCATTTTTTATTTGAACCAAGGGTATTTATTAGCTATTCGAATTTTTTAAAAGAATAAAACTTCTGATATACTCTATATAAAATTACTACAATGTGATTTTGAACTTATGTACATACAAGGATGATAATGCTGTTAACAAAGAGAAAAAAATTGGAAAGCAAAATTTGGAATATTTAGAGAAAAGCTGACTGAGTTAGGTTTTGACTATGTAGGTGGGAGGTACCTAGGCCTATATGTACGTAGAGATGCCCAGCAAACAGGACGGTGGGAAATAGGTGTCTCAGGAGATTTTAATTTGAGGGGGAAATAAAAGTATAAAAGCAGAAAAGACATAATTGCCAGTGTTTGTTATCTCTGTCAGTATTGCCTAAGAGTAATTGGTGAAGCCATTTGAAATCATGAGGCTATTTGAATAAAATCTTTTCAGAGGCATTAGTAGGTGAATCCCGTGAGACCTTACTATAAATCAGAGGTTGACTTCAGGGCAGTTCTGCAGCTTCTCACATACGTGATTGGCAGGATAGTTTAACTTAGGTTTCCGGGTGAAATTTTAAATATTTGGAGAAAACGAAGTATCCCCTTCACAGACAAACAAAACAAAAATTGTTAGCTTATTGGCTTTCCTATTTGATCCTTCCTTTCTTGGAGTCAAAGCAAATTGTAAAAGCCAGGGGAAGCATTTTATAGATATACAAGAACACAAAACATTTACAACACATCAATCCCCTTCAGAAATAGCTATTTAAGGTTTAAAACACTTGTCAAACACATATACCCAGTAGTGTATTAGTAATTAATCATGGAAACCTTACACTAAAAGTATATATGTGAATGTGTATATTTGTCTTCTATTGCTGCATCACAAATTACTATAATCTTAGCAGCTTAATACAACACAAATGTATTATCTTCCATGGGTCAGATGCCTGAGTACGAGTTCACTAGGCCCTCTACTTAGGGTCTCACTACAGTGCATTTAGCAGGTTGGCTGAAGCTGTGATCTCATCTGAGTCTTGGTGTCCTCTTCCAAACTCACTATTTGATTGCAGAATTCACTCCTTTGTGGTTGTAGGACTGAGGCCCTTATCTTCTAGGGTGTTCCTATTGTTCCCTTCCATATGAACCTCCCAACAACATGGCAGTTTTATCCTTCAAGACCGAAAAGAGAATTTCTGCTGCTTCTTCTGTCTTTGACTGGCTCACCTGATAACATAAGGTTCACCCAGTGTAATTTCCCTTCTGATTAATAAAAGTCAACCGATTAGACAGCTGAATAACATCTTCAAAACCCCTTTTCTATGCAGAGTAACACAATCATAGGAGTGATACTCCATTACAATCATAGTTTCCACCAACATTTAAAGGAAGGTGACTACATAGGATGTGTACCACTGGAGAAAGGAATCTTGAGGATCATCTTAAAATTCTGCATACCACAGTGTGTGTGTGTTCTCTCTGTGTGTGTGTCCAAGTGTGCACAATCATATTCATGCACAGGCAATTGGTTTTGGAAAATGGTAAAACTATAGAGTATATTTGCATCGTTTTTGCAGACATTCCAGGTTTTTGTCAGATATTGTGACGTGTTTCTTTTGTTTGTTTGCTTGTTGTTGTTTTTTTTTTTTTCTGACAGAGTCTTGCTCTGTCACCCAGGCAGGAGTGCAGTGGTGGGTTCTTGGTTCACTGCAACCTCTGCCTCAAGGTTTCAAGTGATTTTCGTGCCTCAGCCTCCTAGACAGCTGGGACTACAGAAGTGCACTGCCAAGTCCAGCTAATTTTTGTATTTTTAGTAGAGATGAGGTTTTGCCATGTTGGCCAGGCTGGTCTCAAGCTCCTGGCCTCAAGTGATCCACCCACCTAGGCCTTTCAAAGTGTTGGGATTACAGGCATGAGCAACAGCACATTTTTTTTTTTTGAGGTTTTTAATGGTCAATGTAGTTCTCACTTCACTTGTCATTTTTCCTCACAGAATCCTTTTTGATTGGCACATATACAACTTAATGTAACACATAGCAAAACATCTTAGCATACTTAGTGGTACACTAGAGGCCAGAAAGTGTTAAAGGATAAGGCCTACATTATAGTTAGAATTTTTTTATAACTCTTTCTATTTAATATTTCTCATCTTTTAACTTCGTTGATAAAGATAAGCAGTGGATTCAGGGGAGAATATTCAATGATTTCTGGCCACAGTCTGGTTGAGTAGTACACTGAGGGTGTATGAGGAAATGAATCTAGTTGTGAAGTAGTTATGAAGCAGTACTAAAATCATCAATCAAATCTTATACATACAATGTTTGTGGGATACCAGTGGAGGAACTATAGGAGCTCTGTACATAGTCTTGGTGGCCTTGAATAGTCAAGATAATTAAAAATGAGTTGAAAAGTGTTCTTCATATACTTTAAATTTGAACTGCAGCCTGTATATTAGTGATACTTTATATGAATATGATTTTAAGTACCACTGATTGAATTATAAATATATAATCATGTGTTTAGTTTTTTGGTCTACTCTAATTTGGTTTTCATCTTCAGAGGTTATAAATAAATGTCTTCTTGTATGAAAATTCATGCAAAGCCAAATACCAAAAGAAAGTATCATGTAATTTCATTTTATTTTATTCATGATGTTTTATGTATAATTAAATGTGATCATGTTATTTTTATATATAGACAAATTTTTGCATGATTTTTAATAATCATATTTCTGGGCTATGAGAAAATAAATGAAAATTGAAATGCTAGAGTGTTTCCAAATTATTCATTGTACAGAGACTGGGAACTGATTACAACATAATCTAAGCAATTCTTCTGCAAAATTTTATAGCAGATGACCTTTAATTAGTGTAAAGATATTCTATTTTATATTTATTCACTTCTCTTACTGGGCAGTAGATGTCTGCTGTGAAGCATAAAGGGTTTTTTTTTTGTCCTAATCCCTGTGATATGACATGATTAATGAGATAAAATTCCCATTTGGAGTTTCCTACCAATCAATAGGCAGATGGGCAATAGTGGATGTCGAACAAGACAGCAGGAGATGCTTAAGCTCTTGTTGCTTTCATAAAGAAAAAAATATTTGGAGAAATTTATTTAAAGCTACAGTCAACATTTTCTGTACCATCTTTTACATCATATCTTTCCACTTGAGTTGTAGATGTCTGAAGCATAAATATTATTGTTCCAAATGAAGTTTATAGTATATATGTACTCATAGTGGCTAAAAAAATTAAAATGGCAAACAGAATTTCCAACACTTTGCTCTTTGAGTAAAGATTGCATAGATGTTAATATGTGAATGAATAGAACTATATGTACGGTGCTTTAGTAGATTCTTTTCAATTTTCTTATTTTTAATATTTGTGGGTACATAGGAGGTATATATTTTAATAGGGTACAGGAAATGTTTTCATACAGGCATGCATGGTATAATAATCATATCATGGAGAATGGGGTAGGCATCTCCTCAAGCATGTATCCCTTGTGTTACAAACAATGCAATTATAATCTTTTAGTTAAGATTCTTACACATCAAAATAAATATTGGTAGACTGTAGCAGTTAATCTTCCATCTACAATACAGTTGCCTATTAGACAAACCACCTGACCTGTAGATTGTGGCCTGCATGAACATACGCCACAGATATCTCTCTTTTTCATTCTTTTATAAAAGGATGAAAAGAAACCCCAAATTTGAAAAACTCTTTCAGTATTATATTATTGCATATTGTGCACATCTTGCAGAATGTAGACTTATTTGCAAAGCTCTTTATCCCTTTTTATTTTACACCTGAGGCTATGTATCACAAAATCTTTTTTCATCTTGACATTATTTAATAAGTGACACATAAAAAGAAAGGAAAAAGGACCATTCTCTGAATTCTGTCAGTGAAGAGCACCTGTAGTAAAAGCATGAAGTATGAACTTAGGGCTTGGTCAAATAATAGACAATTTCAAAATGAATTTATAAGGGCCCTAGAGAGAATAGCAAATTTTATTACACAAGTTTATTTTAAAAAATTACCCACATACATTATGAAGTCTTTCAGAAGTTAAAATTCAACAAATACTAGTGTTACGCAGATAAGAAACAAAGGCGGGTAGGTGTAATTTACATCATTAAAATTTTCTAAAAATAATTATGATTTATATAGAGTTTCTCCTGGAGACTATAGAATCACTGTAGTTACTCTAAAAGCAGACTGACAGGTGGAGAAAGCCAGTGAGTTCATTTGACAAAAAATTTTAAAGTCCAATGTGTCAACTTTACTCTTCTCTGTCATTAATATTCTCCATGTGCCCTGCAAGAGGACCCCCCTAGTTCTTTCAGTATAAAGACATTCAAGAAACATTTGCTTCTATATCATGTGGAGACTGTTACTGGTCTTATGCATATTCTCACTACTCAGAAACATGCATATTGTGTTTTTACCCCTTTATATACATGGCCCATGTCTTCTTTTATAATGAAAAAGAAATTAATTGGCTCTATTATATCTTTAAATTAAAAAATACAGAGACAATGGTAAATACATTAGCGTAGAAAAAGTTCTGTTGTCTGATCTGCTCCATTTCCATGCTTAAGCATTATTGATAGCTGCGATACATTTTCTTGGTTCTTTCTAGGTTTTTCTGCAGTGTCTCTAGGAAGAATGTTCTTATATCAGGTTGGTGCTAAAGTAATTGCAGTTTTTGCCATTAAAAGTAATGGTTGAAAACTGCAATTACTTTAGCACCAACCTAATAGCATACTGCTAAACAATAGTCGACTCTTCAGCAACACACTAGAGATCTTTGTATGACAAAGTTGTCTGTCCCTGATAGCTGTGCTCTCCCTTTAAGATATTCTCAATTCCAAACACATATATACAGTAGTCTTTACAAATTCCTTACAATAATGATAAGGACAAGTTTTATTTTTCCTTCTTTGCTCCTAGACTTATTGCACCCTATTAAACTTGAAAGAGAACTGTGATTTTCATGTAATTTTGAATTCTTACTATCTAACATATTTTAAAGAAGGATATCTCTATTTTCGCTTGATAATTTTTTTCTCAAGTAAGAGATCTTGTATGTAAATCAAACTTTTAGTTTAACATTGATGTTTAGACTTGAATCCACTTCTTTGGACTGAAGTTAATGCAATCTACTTGCCTTTTGATACATATACTTAAATTGGTTCATAAAATTAAATCATTTTATTACATATCAGATTGGTTTTAATCAACCTTAAAAAGGAAATGTAACACCCCTACAAGGGATGGGTATATATTTTATGAAACTTCTTAAGATAACATTTCAAAGAGACAATGCTAGAAACCAATAGCGAAATAAGTTTGCTCATCATATTAAACTATAACAATATTTTCTCAAGTTAGAAGTGTACTTACAGCCTATTAAAACATCTATTATTTTTATGCAAACTGTATCTTGTGGGCCAAATCCAGTCTGTTGACTGTATTTGTGAATAAAGTTTTGTTGGAACATAACCATATATTTATATTGTCTATGGTGCTTTTGCACTACAATGGCAGAGTCATATTGTAGCCAAGACTGCATGGCCCAAAATGCTAAAAATATTTACTATCTGACCAATTACAGAAAATGTTTACTGACTCCTGTACTAATAGTCCTTCTTTATACTGAAAATTTCTGACAGCATAAGTGAACCTGGCGGATATTATATTAAGTGAATTAAGCCAGGAAGAAAATGCAAATACTGCATAATCTCCTTTATAAATGGGATCAAAAAAGTTGAACTCATAGAAGTAGGGAGTATAATGGTAGTTACCAGAGGCTGGGGAAGGGGAGTGGTTAGGGAAAGAAAAGATGTTGATCAAGAGTACAGAATTTTAGATAGACAGACGGAATAAGCTTTAGTGATCTGTTGCACAGAATGGTGACTATAATAATAATGCACTGTGTATTTCAAAATTACTAGAAGAGTAGATTTAAACGTTTTCACCACAAAACATGATAAGTATGTTGTATGGTTTGGCTCTGTGTCCCCACCCAAATCTCACCTTGAATTATAATCCCTGTAATCCCCAAGTGTCAAGGGCAGGACTGGGCGGGGGTAATTGGATCATGGGGGTGGTTTCTCCCATGCTCTTCTCATGAGAGTGAGTGAGTCTTATGAGATCTGATGGTTTTATAAGCATCTGGCATTTCCCCTGCTTGCACTCACTTCATCCTGCCAACTTGTGAAGAAGGTGCTTACTTCTCCTTTGCCCTCTGCCATGATTGTATGTTTCTTGAGGCCTCCCCAGCAATGCAGAACTGTGAGTAAATAAAACCTCTGTCCTTTATAAATTACCCAGACTTGGGTATTTATTTCTAGCAGTGTGAGAATGAACTACCACGGTATGTGAGGTACTGGATTTATTAATTTGCTTGACTTAATCATTCCATAATGTAAATCTGTTGTACACATCACATTATAACAACGTAAAGATCACATTGTACCTCATAAAAATATAACATAAAATTATTATTTGTCAATTAAGAAGAAAAAATAAACAAATAAGATTCTCTAATTGTCCAGCTTACTCAAAATAACTCATTAAAAAAGATACTTCATTAAAAATACAAACTTATTTACTCATCTTTTCTCGCTCCAATTTACTGTTGGTGTAAAATTCACTTCTCTTTCACTTGCTAAGAAAATATACTTTCTAATGCCTCCATTAGTTTGTATTTGACAGATGGTTAATGTGTTCTTGAGAAATATACCAATCCATTTCCTCTCCTTCTTGAATTTCTCTTCAAAAGACCTAGGTACAAAGTACTTACCTGTTTCCATTTTTGTCCCCACCCCCACCAATTATTTTATTTGAAAGAAGCCAGGGAAAACCATTGTGAAAAGACCAGTTCCTCTGCCATTTTTTGTAAACAAGACCAGTTGAGCAACTTTTCAAAGGAAGTGCCTAGCATTCTATGGATTTTTCAGATAAATGTGTACACACAGGAAGACACATACTTCAGATGCACACATACACTTCACGGTCACACTTATTTAAACTACAGGGTATTTGTCAGTAAAAAAGTTGCAGTTGTCTCTCAAGCATAACCAACTTGTCTATTTATACCAAACAAAAGCTTCTGAGGGTTTCTGGGGCTCTCAGTACCTTCCTACATATTTGCCTAGACTGAGGTTGTTGTTTTTTGGATCAACTTGAACAAAAAGAGGAGATACTGATGGTATGTAGCTATTCCAAGATTGTTAAAAGCAGCCCATTACATGCAGGAAGGTGCCTACAATGCTAAAAAAGATGACAAAAGGAAAGTAAAAAGAACACACATTTTTGGAAGTGATCTTTTGGAAACAATTAATTAATTGGATAATAAAAAATATATGCATACTGCAACCCCCTAAACACTTATGGATTTGCTTTTATAGATAGATCCCCATTGTCCATTGTTCCCTTCTTTGTGTTCACGCCTACTCAATGTTTAGTTCACAATTATAGGTGAAAATGTGCAGTGTTTGGCTTTCTATTCCTGCTGAGTCAAATGGTCAAACGGTACTTCTGTGTTAAGTTCTTTGAGAAATCTCCAAACTGCTTTCCAAAGGGGCTGAACTAATTTACATTTTCACCAGCAGTGTATAACCATTCCCTTTTCTCTGAAACCTCACCAAAATCTGTTATCTTTGACTTTTTAATAATAGGCATTCTGACTGGTGTGAGATGGTATCTCACTGTGGTTTTGATTTGCAATTCCCTGATGCTTATTGATTTAGTACACTTTTTCATATGTTTGTTTGCTGTGTCTATGTCTTCTTTTAGAATTGTCTGTTCATGTCCTTTGCCCAATTTATAATGAGGTTGTTTATTTTTTGCTTGTTGATTTGCTTAAGTTCCTTATAGATTCTGGATATCAGACATTTGTTGGAAGCATAGTTTGCAAATATTTTCTCCCATTCTGTAGGTTGTCTGTTTACTCTGCTGATAGTTTATTTGGCTGTGCAGAAGCTTTTAAATTTAATTAGGTCCCATTTGTTAATTTTCGTCTTTGTTGCAATCAATTTTGAAGACTTTATCATAAAGTCTTTGCCAGGGTAGATGTTCAGAATGGTATTTTTAAGATTTTCTTCAAGGGTTTATATAGTTTTAGGTTTTACATTTTTTTTTAATCCATCCTGTGTTGAGTTTTGTATATGGTATAAGACAGGGATTCAGTTTCAATCTTCTGCATATTGCTAGCCAGTTATCCCAGCACTATATATTGAATAGTGTCTTTCCCCATTGCTTTCTTTGTTGACTTTATCGAAGATCAGATAGTTATAGATTTGTGGCTTTATTTATGTGCTCTCTATTCTGTTCCATGGGTCTGTATGTTTGTTTTGGTACCATCACCATGCTGTTTTGGTTACTATAGCCTTGTAGTATAGTTTGAAGTCAGGTAGTGTGATGCCTCTGGCTTTGCCGTTTTTGTTTAGGATTACTTTCTCTCTTTGGTCTTTTTTTCTTTGGTTCCATATGAATTTTAGAATAGTTTATTCTACTTCTGTGAAAAAATATCCTTAGAAGTTTGATAGAAATAGCATTGAATTGGTAAATTCCTTTGGGCAATATGGCCATTTTAACAATATTGATTCTTCCTATACATGCACATGGCTTCCCTGATTAGCCGTATTCCTAGGTATTTTGCTCTTTTGTGGCTATTGTTAATGAGATTACATTCTTAATTTGGCTCTCAGCTTGAATGTCATTGATGTATAGAAACGCTAGTGATTTTTGTACATAGATTTAATATCCTGAAATCATGATAGAATTGTGTATTGGTTCTAAAAGCCTTTGGGTTGAGTTCTTAGCCTTTTCTAAGTGTAGAATCATATATTCAGTGGAGAGAGATAGTTAGACTTATTTTCATATTTGAATGCCTTTTATTTTCTTCTCTTGCTTGACTGCTTTGTCTAGGATTTCAAGTACTATATTTAATAGGAGTGGTGATAGAGGGCTTCCTTTTCTTGTTGTAGTTCTCAAGATGAATGCTTCCAGCTTTTGCCCATTCAGTATGATGTTGGCAGTCAGTTTGTCATAGAGAGCTCTTATTATTTTGAGGTATGTTCCTTTGATGCCTTATCTTTTGAGGGTTTTTAATATGAAGTAATGTTGAATTTTATTTTATCGAAAGCCTTCTCTGCATCTATTGAGATGATTATGTGCTTATTGGTTTTAGTTCCATTTATACAGTGAATCAAATTCATTGATTTGGAGCAACCTTGCATCCCATGGATAAAGCCTACTTGATTGTGGTGGATTAGTTTTTGGTTTAGTTTCCTAGGATTTTTTTATATTTTTTCATCTATGTTCATCTAGAATATTGGCCAAAGGTTTTCTTTTGTCAGTTTCAGTATCAAACTGTTTCTCAGTTTTGGTATGAAACTTCTAGGTTTGGGTGTCAGACTATTCCTGCCTTCCTATAATGAGTTTAGGAGGAGTCTTTCTTCCTCGGTTTTTTG
The DNA here is from genome assembly GCF_000001405.40 of Homo sapiens. NCBI lineage: Eukaryota > Metazoa > Chordata > Mammalia > Primates > Hominidae > Homo > Homo sapiens. The sequence goes on from NC_000023.11 coordinate 86,933,159, forward strand.
GAATAGTTTTAGCAGGGTTGGTAACTGGCTCTTTTTCATACATGTGGTAGAATTAGACTGTGAGTCTGCCTGTTCCATGGTTTTTCATAGCTGGTAGGTTTTTAAAATTACTTACTGTATTTTGGAACTTGTTATTGGTCTGTTAAATATTTCAATTTATGCCTGTTTCAATCTTCGGAGGTTGTATGCTTTCAGGAATTTATCCATTTCTGCTAGGTTTTCTAGTTTATATGTATAGAAGTATTTGTGATAATTTCTGAGAGTTGTTTGTATTTATGTGGGGCTGGTGGTCATTTCTGATTGTGTTTATCTGAATATTCTCACTTCTTTTTCTATATTATTCTAACTGGTGGTCTATCAATCTTATTTATTCTTTCAAAGAATCAGCTTTTTGTTTAGTTGATCTTTTGTATGGTTTTTCACATCTCAATTTAATTAAGTTCTGTTCTGATTTTGGTTATTTATTTTCTTCTGCTAGCTTTCAGGTTTGTCTTCTTCTGTATTTCTGGTTCCTCTAGGTGAGACGTTAGGTTTTTAACTTGAGACATTTCCAACTTTGCTATTGGGTGTTTAATGCTGTAAACTTTCCTTTTAACACTGAATCTCCTGTAGATTCTGCTATGATGTAACTTTATTTTCATTAGTTTCAAATTTTTTTTGATTCCTACCTTACTTTCATTGTTTACCCAAAAGTCTTTCAGGAGCAGGTTAGTTACTTTCTATGTAAGTGCAGGTGATATGATTCTGGTTCTTTTGAAATTGTTAAGAATTACTTTTTGGCTTAGTGCATGGTTGATTTTTTAGTATGTACTATGTGCATATAAGAAAAATGTATATTCTGTTGTTACTGCATGGGGTGCTCTGTGGATGTCTGTTAGGTCCATTTGGTCTAGGTCCCGAATAGCTTTATTAGTTTTCTGCCTTGATCTGTCTAATATTCTCAGTGGCATATTAACATCTCCCAATATTATTATATGGCTATTTCAGTCTCTTCATAGTCTCTAAGAAACTGTTTTATAAATCTAGGTGTTCCAGTGTTGATTGCATGTATATTTAGAATAGTTGTCTTCTTGTTGAATTCAACAGTTTATCATTATGTAATTCCCTTCAGTTTTCTTTCTGATTGATGTTGGTTTAAAGTCTGTTTTATCTGAAATAAGAATAGGAACTCCTGCTTTTTGTTGTTTTCTATTTGCTTGATAGATTTTTCTCCATCCGTCTACATTAGGCCTATCAGTGTCATTGCATGTGAGATAGTTTTCTTGAAGACAACGTAACTTTGGCTCTTGTTTCTTTATCCAACTTGCCACTCTCTGCCTTTTAAGTGGGGGCATTTGGTCCCTTATATTGAAGGTTAATGTTATTATGTGCAGATTTGACCTTGTTACCATGTTGTGAACTGTTTGTTATGTAGATTTGATTGTGTGGTTCCTTTATAATGTCAACTGTCTATGTACTTTGTGTGTGTGTGTGTGTGTGTGTGTGTGTGTGTGTGTGTGTGTGTGTATAGGTGTTTGTCATTGGCTGGTAATGGTTTTTTGTTTCCAAGTTTTTCACTCCCTTAAGGACGTCTTGTAAGGTAGGTCTGGTGGTAATAAATTCCCTTAGCATTTGTTTGTCTTACTTTGCTTATGAAGCTTAGTTTGTCTGGATATGTTTCTTGGTTGGAAATTCTTTTTTTAAAAAATGGTGAATGTAGACCCCTAATCTCTTCTGCCTTGCAAGGTTTCTGTGAGAGGTCCACTGTTATCCTGATGGGGTTGCTTTTTTAGGTGACATTCCCTTTATCTCTAGTTGCCTTTAATTTTTTTTCATTTATCTTGGAGAATCTGATGATTATGTGTCTTGCAGATAGACACCTTGGTTAGCATCTCACAAGGGTTCTCTGCATTTCCTGAATTTTAATGCTGACCTCTCTAGCAAAGTAGGACAAATTTTTGTGGACAATATCCTCAGATATGTTTTCCAAGTTGCTTGCTGTCTTTCCCTCTTAGAGATGCCTTTGAGTCATAGGTTTTGTCTGTTTATATAAACCCATATTTCTTGGAAGTTTTGTTTATATTTTATTCTTTTTTAAAATTTTTGTCTGACTGAGTTAATATGAAGAACTGGTCTTAGAACTCTGAGATTCTTTAACCAGCTTTGTTTATTTTTATGTTAATATTTCCAATTGAATTATTAATTCTTGCAGGAAAATTTTCCACTCTGTCAGGTCAGTTTGGTTCTTTTTTAAAATGGCTATTTCACCTTTCATCTTTTCTATCATATTACTTGGCACCTTAATTCCTTGGGTTGTGTTTCAACCTTCTTCTGAATCTTGATGATCCATGATGCCATCCAGATTCTGAATTCTATGTCAGCGATTTCACCCTGGTTAAGAATCATTTTAGAGGAGCTAGTGTTATCATTTGGTCAAAAGTCATGGTGACTTTCTGAGTTGCCAGAGTTTTTGCACTGGTTGTTTTTCATATGTGTGGGCTGACATTCCTTTAAACTTTGAAGTTGCTCTCCTTTGGATGGGGCTTTTTGCTTTTATATTGTTTAACAATTATTGTTATATCAATATATAAGCAAATAATATATTGTTTTCTAATATATTGTTTGATATAAAAGCAAACAGCCCCATAAGGGTTTCACTCTGGTATAAGTTGGGTTCAGTTGACTGGCTTTGATTCTGCAGGATTTCAGGAATCCAAGGCTAAACTTAGCACTCTTGGGCTGCATGCTCTAACCCTTGGGTGGCTGGGACCAGGCCCATGGCTTTGTTCTCTGTCTCCTTGAGGCTAAGCACCTAATGTTCAGGAGGGATGAAGGTGTTTCCAGTCTATCAGTAACAATATTCTGATGCGGGGGTAATAGGAAAACAATTTCATTGGGTCAGTGGCTGTGAGGTCTGTACTCACATGTGCACATCAGCAGTGGTTAAGTGGCAGCATGGCATAGTCCATGTGCACGTGTACACTGGCAGCAGTGGAGTGTCAATGGTGCAGTGTGGCAGCAGCTTTGCCTGGGTCTGCTTGCGTGCGTGCATCAGTAGTGGCATGGGGGTGGTGTTCATGTGCATGCACACACCAGTGGGTGTGGTGGCAAGTTTCATGTGTGTGTGCCCACTGATGGCAGCTAGACAGCAAGGTCAGTGTGTGTGCTTGCACCAGCAATGCAGTGGGGGTATGTTGGGGGTGAGTGACCGTGGAGGCCCTTCTATGGGAGGTCTCTGATGATCAGGTGAAGCCTGCCAGTGAAGGAGCTGCGGAAGTGGTAGTCACCACTTCCAGGGCTAAAGTGCCCTGGTTGGGCATGTGAGGCTGCACTGCAAGTGGGTGTAATCATGCAGGGACCTTGGGAAAGGGCAACAGACAGAGGAATGCTGAGGTCAGACTGGCTCTGTCTGTGGGCAAGATAATCAGGTTCTGTATAGATCCCAAAATTAATAAAGTCCAAAGGTGTGGTGAGTGTTACAAGATAAGCATCTTTGGCTGTGCTCCATTGCAGAGATTCCTATTCCAAACCCTCTGGGCCCTGCATGTGCTGGGATCCCATTCCTGCCTATTCTCCAAGCAGTTCTCCCTGCCAGCTCAAATGTCTGTGGGGGTCATAGACTCTTTCATGGCCAGAATTCCCAAGGTCCACAAGAGGATTGTGCCACTTCATGCCTATTTAACTCATCCTTTCCCCAGGAGGTGCTTGGGGCCAGGAATCAGTATTGGTGCTCAGCATCCTCGTGCCGAGTTTCGAGATTCCTCTCTCTTCAGCCTAGGGGACAGGATCCTCCCTCCATCCACTCTGAATGTCTTCCTTCCAAAGAACTGCTTGGAGTGAGCTGGTCGTCTTGATGGTCTGGGCTCTGTGGAAAAAGATTTCTTGACTGCATCCAGCTGGCCATCTTGGCTCTTTCTTCTGATTTGATTTTTATAAAATAAAAGTGTGTTTTCATAGTGCTGATATAAATGCATTGTTTTTTAAAATGCTCCTTCTGGAGTAGTTCTGGTTATATTTGACCGTGTCCATGTGTCCTGATCTGTGGGATAATTCACAAACTGCTGAATATCTCCAGATGCATAGTGCAGTACTGCCCCATTGCAACTCCACTGCTGCTGGTGCACATGTGCAAACAGATTACGCCACACTGCTACTTGGCCCCTGCTGATCTGCACACGTGAGTGCAGACCCCATAGCCACTAGCATAATAAAATGGTTTTCTCCATCACCCCCCATCAGGGTTGTTACTGGCTTGTGCAGGGAGGTCGATCACCTTGAATAAAAAATTGAGAAGCAGTTAAAGGAAAAAACGATTGAATCCATCGTCGGTGATGTACAAGGTAGAGCTAAATGATCTGGTGCCTCATACAGGTCTCCATGACACATACTTCCACCCAGGGTTCAGTGGCCAGTGTCTGTGTTTCATGAGCCCATTATTCCTGCCTTCTAAGAGATTGGTACTTGGTCCACTCTGAGCACCTGCATGCGGAATATTATTTGGTTATCTTTTTGTGGGTTTTAGTTCCAACAATGCCACTATCTTACTTTGTGTCCCACATCCAGGCTTTAATTTTCTCACCTGGGAAATATGGGGATTGAAATTTTTCTCCGCTTTCCTCTAGTTTCTTCCTTCCAAGTCTTTCCTCTTCTTTTCTTCTTACCCTCTTACATTTTTGTTTCTTCTCCTTCCCAAATTTATTTTTCTAAAAAACTTTCCTATTTTACAATAGTTATTTGTTATTTCTTTAATTAATTAAATTTTTAAATTGACAAACATGTGTGTGTCAATACATATGTACAACATATGTTTATGTTGTACAATGTGTATAACGTGATGTTTTGATATATGTATACATTGTGGAATGATTAAGTCAAGCTAATTAACATACAAATCACCCCACATACTTAACACTTTTTGTAGTGAGAACATTTAAAATATACTTTCTTAGCAACTATTAAATGCACAATACATTACTATTAACTATAGTCAACATGTTGTACAATAGATTTCCAGACCTTATTTGTCCTATCTAATGGAAACTCTGTACCCTTTGACCAACACTTTCCATTCACATGCCCTGTCTCATTCTCAGCCCCTGGTAAATACCATTCTACTATCTGAAAACAAAGATTTTCTTAATCAACAGATAATTCATTAAAAATATTTCCTGCTAAGGCATGATGCCAATGCACAATATTTGTTCATCCTAGAATGAGTCATGTCTGCAGCACAACATTAAACATTCAAAGTCACCATTTAAATAGATTTGCTTAAATGTTTAACTTTATTAAAACTTCATATTGTTGTATGTCTAAACTAATATTTTTACATTTTGTTCTGGGTTTTAAATTGGGCTAAGGAAGTTATTCAAGTGTGAATATTTAATTAATCAACCCATATGCACAGTCTGCCAGTTTAATCTATTAATAATTTATTAGATATAAAACAATATTTATGGGGAAATAAAAATAAAAAAATAAGTAAAGGCCTCAAATAAACAAAACGTGCAAACAACAAATGTATTTTAATGTATGGGCATTCTAAAAAAGTTAGCAAAATCTTATAAGAATTTCTTTTTATCCCATAAAAGCCTCTTTGATTAAAGGCAAACATTAATGGCAGTTGAATTCATGAAGACGCATGTGACAATCCTATTCATTTTAAATACAAAATTGTAACTTTATTAGTAGAAAAACAAAAACAAACAACTTAAAATGAGTTACTTGTTCGATGACACCTTGGAGGAAAAAAATTGTGCAATTAGAGGGGTCAATGAGGATGCTTAAGAGTATTTTGTTAGGTTTACATAAATTTTGTTTACCCGAAAGTGATGAGAGAACAGAAAATAAAATAATCTTGCCCTCTAATCAAAGGATGAATGTGTTGATTGACCTAGCTACAATTTAAAAATTGCAAAATCTTGAGTCTGAACTGTCACAAATAGACTAATTGAGTAGGCCAAGAAGAGTTCTAGACATAAAGCCTGTTCAAAATATTAAATATCATTAAACATGTATAAAAGTTATTAGGAGTTGGACATACTCCCAAATCATTAAGGAGGTGTATTATCTTGGTAGCTAGGGTATAATTAAAAAGAGACAGAAAACTACTGATAATTTTCACAAAATCAGTTATTCAAGTGGTTCTTTGAGATTTGCATTTGATTTATATCATTTCCAACTTCCAGTGCTGACACAAGATTAGTCCCGTGTAATAGTTTTCAGTAGCTTAAATAATAATTCACAATTTAAATAAATAATGATACGGATAAATTCAAACTCTTCACCTCATTGAACTTATGAAGATACTTCTTGTATTGTTTTGGTACCATTACTTGATAATGCTTAATACAATATTATGCACACAGTAAGAACTTAAACACAAACTATCGCAAGAACAAAAAACCCAACACCACATATTCTCACTCATAGGTGGGAATTGAACAATGAGAACACATGGACACAGGAAGGGGAACATCACACTCTGGGGACTGTTGTGGGGTGGGGGGAGGGGGGAGGGATAGCATTAGGAGATATACCTAATGCTAAATGACGAGTTAATGGGTGCAGCACACCAACATGGCACATGTATGCATATGTAACAAACCTGCACATTGTGCACATGTACCCTAAAACTTAAAATATAATAATAATAAAATAAAACATAAAAATAAAATAAAATAAAAAGAACTAAAACACTCATTCTATGAACTGGTTTATGTTAGGACTAATACATTTAAGTTATAAATTTTTATTGAAAATAATAAGAAATGATAATCTTCCTTCTGAAATAATAAATTTGTTAAAAATTTAAAAGGTAATTTAATTATTGAATAATAAGTAAAATGTTACGTCAATTTAAAATGGTGGTTACCAACGCGGTTTCACCTGCTGAGACAAACCATGTTTTTAATGTCCAGAAAAACGACTTAAATTATTTTTAATTGTTCTAAGGAACAATCAATGTTTATGCATATACAACATTAATTATTAAAATACACTAATAGTATAACAAAATGCATTCATTCAGGTTAATTTTGGTTCTATCATGTAGATAGATAGAACTACAATGTAGTCTTATATATGCAAGGGGAAATACGTGGGAGCATACTGAATGATGTTTACCAGGAAAAGCTAATTACCTATGGTTGCTGTTTATGAAAAAGAGGGACATGAACATTAAAATGAGGTGATAGTTATTAGTTTTTGGAAAAGCACCAAACTCAAACCTAAGCCCACAAATTTATTGAGTATACATAATTCTTAGTCAACTATTTTAATTTGGGAGTAATCAGCATATACATGGCACTTGATTTATAAGACATACAGAGAACAAGAGTTAAAACTGAGCAGAGGAAGATGCCCTAGAACCAGATTTTTAAAAATGTCATTGGGGGAGAGGGAGAGGAAACAGGAGAAAGTGTTGTTATGGAAACCAACAGAAAGTAAAACTTAATTTGTTTTGTTTTCTGCAGAATGCCTAGTGCCTAGAATGGCCATTGACTTAGAAAATAGTGTTAAAATTTTTGTTGAATAAGTGAATGAGTTTTAAGCTAAATGAGGATGATTGTCCAAGGTGGTTTATCATAGTGACAGTGAGAGGAAGAAAATTGTCTGAGTAAATTGCATGGGCCTTAAAGCACAAAGAATTTTGTTCTAATGAGATAGAGAGTAAACTATAATGGTGACCAAGGAGGATGCCATGGGTGAGAAATGTTAAACAGTCTCCACTAAAGAGAACTTCAAATAAACAATGTTTTTTGAGGAAAGATGGAGACAGGAACATAGCAAGTATTTCAGATACTTTGAGGTGAGAGATAGGGGAGGGATATTAGCGGAGATGAGAAAATACACAGTAGGCATTAGAGATGTCCAGAGTGTGAGGTGTCATTGTTTTCTTTAGTCATTGATAAAAAGAAAAAAGATATGGTGAATTTAGTTTCAAAAATTTCTTTGAATTGGAGAAATCCCTGAGCTTTGGCTTGAATGCCCATAAGGCTTATTTATTCTAAGTGGGTAATGGAAGATCTCAGAGAATGAATCTGATACATGGCTGGCAATTGCTTTATAGTGGCTAACTTTTTCACTCTTGAGATACACCATGTGTGGAATTCCTAAAAGTAAAGATAAATTCCACTATTCTCAAAGAAGTGATAATCAATTTTATCGACAAGCAAATTAATAATTGTTTCTGTCATCTTAAAAGTTTATCCTGAATTTTACAGGATCATAGATAACCAACCGTCTCTTCATGTTATCTCCCATAGCACTTCGAACTATTTTTCTATTGCTTGTACTACAAAATTAATTAAAGACAATAGTATGAGGAAAGGTGTGTTATATAATATAGCCAATACATTTACATTAAAATATGTAAGCACACAGAAACTTAGATATAAACACACCTGAAAAGATACACATACCCATAAATATTGATCACACATTTTCCCTGCTTAAAAAGAATATAGTGATTTATATTTTATCATTTTGCTTAAGTAGATAATACATTATCTACAAATAATATATACTGATTTTGGACTGAGAAAAACCTGTATGTTTAAAACTTAGACACTTATATTTTTAAATGTATAAAAATTATGATATCACCTATATTTTTAAATGTATAAAAAGAAATAACCGTATACACTGAAACATTAATGTTCTAATGATAGAAATTAACAAAAAGGCAAAACTTCCTAAGTAGCATGAGGAATACAACTGTTGATTTAAGAAAAAAATTATAAGATGTCATAAGGAACAGAAGTAACTTCACAAAATAAGTAACACTTAAGCTGAACATTTTTAAATGGTAGGGGTTTAGAAAACATTTTGTTCTGGGTGATAGAATCAGGTAACTTTTTAGTAAATCTCTATGCTTTTCTGTTTTAAAAATTTAAAACCTATAATTGGTATGCCAAGGGCTCCAGTGAAAAAATAGACAATATGAAAGAACTGATAATGTAAGCAGAGAAATATAAATTCTAAGAAAAAATTGAAAAGAAATGCCAAAAATCAAAACACTGTAACAGAAATGAAGAATGCCTTTGATGGGCTAATTAGTAGAGTAGACACACCTGAGGAAAGAATCAGTGAACTTGAGAATATATCAATAGAAACTTCCAAAACTGAAAAGCAAAGAGAAAACAGAATGAAAGAAAAACAATAAAATATCCAAGAACTGTGAGACAGCTACAAAAGGTGAAATATTTGTGAAGTGAGAAATCAGAAGAAAAAGAAAGAAAGGAAGAGAAGCAACATTTGAAGCAATAGGAACTGAGAATTTCCCCAAATTAATGTTGGATATCAAACCACAGATCTAGAAAGCTCAGGAAATATTAAATAGAATGAATAGGGGTAGGGGGGAACTACATCTAGGCATTTCATATTCAAACTTCAAGAAGTAAAACCTAAAGAATAAAATATTGAAAGAAGTCAGAGGGGGAAAAAAGGGAAACAATGATAAGAATTACACCTAACTTCTCAGAAGCTATGCAGGCAAGAAGAAAGTGGAGTGATATATTTGAAGTATTCAGAGAAAATAACATAGTAACTTAGAAAATTTTTCAGGAGAAATAATAACAGCATGGATAATAGTATAGGGAAGTGGAAATAAGAATGAATACAGAGCAGATATAGTTGATCAGCCTACTAGAAAAAATATAATTAGTTTTGTGGAGAGCTGTGGCATTGTTAAAAAATTAAGCCAACGATATCAGATTTTCACCAATTTCGTTAGAATGAGAATCATTGCCTTAAGAGAATGGAATATCTGCGGTACTCATAGCACAAAATGGTGCTTACTTCTCTGATGTTCCTTCTCAGTTTCCATTGCTTCATCTTTCCATTGCCCAAATTCTAAATACAGGCATTTCCCAAGATTCAGTACTAGGACCATTTTTTTCCTATGTTCTCTGACCTTTAAATATCTCCTATATTCTTATGGTTTTAATAATGTGTAATACAAAGTTTTCTATTCCCAAATCCATCTCTCTAGGCTAAAAATTTTTTAAGCTTCAGTCTGGGATATGCACAAAATGTGGGATATTTCCTTCATAGCTCTGACCATCAGGTACTTCAGTCAAAGTATTTCTAAAACCAAATATTTTCCTTCATTTTACAACCATATTCCCCATTAGACATCTCACTTTTCATTATATTGGACTTTTTTTTTCTTTTTCCATCAACTTCTCTCTCATCTCACCTTTCTCATCACAATCGTCTTATTCTAAGATGTTATGACCTCATGCATGGATCACTGCAATAGTCTTCTAACTGATCTCACCACCTGTAGTGTCCCCCCAACCCATTCTATCCCATTATCTCCAGATTAATCTTGCCGAAAGTTTGCTTTGATAATGTTACTTTCCCCATCCCAATTCACCATGACTCCCCACTGCTTATAGGATAATGTGGACCTCTCTTTCAAACTCAGAAAATGTTTTCTTACTCATTTTACAATTTATTCCAAAATTAATCATCATCTCCAAGGAAACTGGCCTATTCACTCCCTCCCCCACAAAGCACTTTACACTTGCACACAATGATGGCTTCACTAATGGCATTTTTGCCCTTTATTCCACCATCTAAACTCTACTAATCTTTTGGCCCATAGTTCAAAGCTCCTCTTATATGTGAAATATTCATTCAAACAGGGTTTGGCTAGTCCTTACTCTGTGATAGGATCTGTGCTATCATTTAAGAATGTCATGATAAGAAACAGCACTTTTGGTCAGGTAACTTGTGTTCTAATAATGGAAGTGAACAAAAAGGCAAAACTTTTCAAGTAGAATGCGAATGCAGTTGACGGTTTGTTCAACAAATTACTAGATGTCATAAAAAACAGGAATAACTTCACAAAAGAAGTGACATTTAAGCTGAGCATTTAAAAATGATAGGGGTTTAGAAAACATCAGCAAAAATATTAAAGGGACTAAGTAGTTTTAACAGAGTAATGCAAGGGTAGAAATAATGGCTGTTTTCAGATATTCAAATGGTGATTATGCATAAGACAGTCTTGATCTGTATTATTACGCTTTGGCTATATTGAGTTGAGGTTCCTGTATGAAATTCTAATGTAGATATTTAGTAGGTTGTTAAATATACAGCGCTGGAGTTCAATAGTGTTGTTCTTAACAACAATGAAGACGTTTCTCATTCATTAAAAATAATTGAGGGTCTACTATGGGTCCAGTACTTTAAAAAATATTGAAACGTATTGTTTTGTTTTATCTTCACAGCACGCCTATGTGGTAGCTATTATTGTTCTCATTTAACATATGAGGAAACTGAGGTATAGAGAGAGACATGAAAGTAGTCATCAGTGGTAGATGAGACATGATGCAGGTGAGATTATTTAAGCTAACTGGTAAACTCACAGCACCATCGAATAGAACTTTCTTCAATAGTAAAAATACTCTATAATCTGCCTTGTCTTATACAGGAGTCATTAGTCATATGTTGGTATTGAGCACTTAAAATATGGCCAGTGTGACTGAGGAATTTAATATGTAATTATATTTATTTTAGTTAATACAATTTAAATTGGGACAGACGCTTGTGGCTAGTGACTACTGTACTGGACAGGGCAGGTAGAGTAGGGGGAGATAGGGTTGTGTTAGAACTTAGAGGATGTCAAACTGCTAAGAGATGGGTAGGGGATTAAATCATTTGAAGGATACCTTTGGCCATCTCAGACTAAAGTAACTTATTTATCTGCAAACCTTTTCACCCATCTGCCTTCCACTTTGTTCATTTTGGACATAACATACACTGCCTGCTTGGTTCGCAACTAATCACAACATAATCATTAGCAAATATAATGCAGAAAACATTTTTAAACTTTGAACCTTGTTCAGTGCATAATATACTGTTAGTAATCTAAGAATCATTTCTACTTGATTGATTTGTTTTTGGTCTGAATCTGTTTGCAATCAGTTTTTGGAAGCAATTTAGCTTTTATATATTGACAATTTGGGTCTGAGTAAGAGAACAAGAATCTCAAAAAGTACAGAAATTGTATTCAAGGTAAATAAACAGTGGTGGAGTACAGACAGCTATATATGCTCTTAAAATTTTTAAAAATGCAAATCTTTAAGTAACGTCAAAATCTTTCAATATTATGAATAATAATATGACAAATTTTGGTAGACTACATTAATTTCAGTGAGAATTATTATTTAATACACACACAATTGCAGTTTTTTGAGGCAGTATTTTTTACCCGTTGGTATTTTGTTATTGCTACTCTGCAGTGATTCATAAAAATAATCATATTCCTCATCACTTTGTTGGAATTTCTATCTTGCAATTAACAAAGGGCAAAGAGCCCTTTTTTGAATTTTTTCCCATGGAGTTCCAGAAATTAAACTTACATTCACAGTACCACCTTATGCTGGTCAGGGGAACAGCTGGTCTAGGTTTTATTATGATTTACTGTTAGTTAATAAAAAAACTATTGCTGTTTTCCTGAGTTTAAAACCTCAAAACTGAAAACTAAACCCACACATAGTTTGCTGGAATTAAATTGTGACAAGAGAAGAGCTGCAGGAGTGTGACAAACCTAATGCGAACACTCTTACCCTACCATGTAAGAGTGAGAGTATCCAACTACTGTGTGTTGAAGAGAACAAATTGTTTTTATTATAATAGGAACACAATTTTAGACCAACTCTATATGTACTCTTTATTTGTGGTTAGTCTATACAAATTGGAAGATGTAAACACTTTACAAATATGTCTTTGTGAAGCCTAATGATAAACTTGAACATAATGATAGACTCTTAAGAAAAATTATACTCAATTTGGATGGCAAATTAGATCTTTCTGTCTATGCCTTCTCAACACTGATTACCCCAGTGGGAAGAAAGTTAATCTGAAGTTTTTGTTTATATGACCAATACATGACCATTTGTGCAAATATTAGTTTTAAGTTATTTGGGATCATATATCATTACCCAAGTTTCAAGGAGATAACAATTATAAAAACATCTGGACTGAGAATGAAAGCTTCTCAGCCCTAGTCTTGATTTTGCCATAAACTGGATATGCGAACACAGCTAATAATCTGAACATTTTTTGGATCAAATCTCATTCTAAAATGAGGGAGTTGGACTACTGGATAATCTTTAGGGTGTCTTCTGGCACTCTGAGTGTGTCAGAGATCATATTTGGTAATTATTAATACAGAAAATTCAACTTAGTGAACTGTACCACCAGGCTTTTCCAGAAGTAATATTATGTGATGGCTAAAATACTGAAGGCAAATTTTCTTCTGGCTACCACACATATGGGTTCTACTAACTGGAGCAATAGCTTAGGCTTTGATTCTAAGACAGTACCAAAACCAGTTTAAAATTAACTATCCCATTGTCATGCTCAGCTAGAGAAAAAAAGGCTGGCAAACCAGATTTACTAGTTTCTTTCTCTACAAAAAAAAATTGACAAATTACATAAGTTGCATGATTACAGAAATGTTAGCTAAAATTGAAAGTTAAAAACAGAAATTAAGACCAGAAATACCATTGTCCCATCCATTTAAAAAATAGAATGAATAAAAAACTTTGACATTCTTAAAGGAAACAAAATGTGAAGTGGAATAAGTGAGAGCAACACTACACAGAAGAATGTTGCTACACTGCCGCTTAGTGGTAGCCATGTGAAACTAAGTTGAGTGAAGATGAGTCAAAAACTAGTCTATTAATGAATTACTGGTAGCTCTTACTTCAGAGAATAGGTTAATTCTAGTAGTGTTGCATAAAACAAAGTTAGATCAAGAGGACAGTATTTTACCAGTGTTTGAGTTATAAAACTAAAAATATAGTCTCATGGAAAGTGCTTTGGCAAGTGGACATAAAATTATAATTAAGAATGAAACATAATTTAAGTATTTTCAAAGGAAAATAAGTCTTAAAGCAACAAAATAAACATCTTCTACTCAAAAGTCACAAAACTATAACAGTGAAGTAAACATGCAAAATGTAACTGTAATTTTTACCTCAAAATATTTATTTCCAACATGCAGGCAATAATCTGTGAAATAAAGATAGCTAAAAATATTTTTTTACCAGAGTCTTTAACTTGTTTCATATCTCCTTAACACTATTTTTATATATAAAATATTTACATTGATTTATTGCACACTTTAAGACTTAAAGCTTACTGATATATCTGTAGTGTATGTATATCTACTGATTCTTGTTTACACATACCCAATTCACCCTTTCTAATTACCAGGAAGTCATGATACTCAATATAGAAATTATAGGACCTCCTCAAAATGTTACCAAAGTGGTTGACTCAAAATGTGAAGGTATGAAAGAGGTCATAATGTTAAGTGTAATTGTATTAGTCCGTTCTCACATTGCTATAAAGAACTGTCTGAGACTGGGTAATTTATAAAGAAAAGAAGCTTAATTGCTCATGGTTCTGCAGGTTGTACAGGAAGCACGGCTGGGGAGGCCTCAGGAAACTTACAATCATGGTGGAAGGCAAAAGGGAAGCCAGCAAGTCCTACATGGCTGGAGCAAGAGGAATAGAGAGCAAAGGAGGAAGTGCTACATACTTTTAAACAACCAGATCTCATAAAAACTCAGTCACTATCATGAGAACAGTAAGGGAAAAATTCACCCCTATGATCTAATCACCTCCCACCAGGTCCCTCCCCCAACACTGGGGATTTCAATTCAACATGAGATTGAGGTGGGGACACAGAGCCAAACCATATCAGTAATTTACTGAAATGTTTTGACATTGCATCTAAGATGTCAAAACATAATAGAAAAAATAAATAAATTGATTGATTAAAAAGCTTATAAATAAAAAGAAAAGAAAGAGTCTATTTTTTGTCTGGCCACAAAGTTTCAAAAACAAGAGCCTGGACTTGGCAGCAGATATGTCTGCTGCTCTGTGGGAAAAATGTAGAGCATTGTAAAAAAAAAAAAAAAAAAAAAAGTAAAGCATTGTTTGAAAGTAATTAGAGACGAGAGAGAGAGAGAGAGAGAGAGAGAGAGAGAGAGAGAGAGAGGGAGAAAGTATCCTGAAAGCATTATATTCCCTCGTTTGAGTCAGGTTCAAATTTTGGACATGTGGCTTCAACACATTTTTTGGATTATGTGAATTATACCAGTTTCTAGCTAATAACTCTACTTATTTTTTTAAAGTTTGGGCTAGATTACTGTTGCTAGCTTTTTTGACTCATTCTGAAGTATGTAGTGTATATATGCTATTTTATGTCTATTATCAATTCTAGTTCTGATAATAATCACCCTTACTCCAACAGAAGTGGATCTGTAGCCCCAAATAGTTTGAGAATGTTTATTTACTGAATTTTTGAAACTGTTTTTCTCTATGTTTACAAAGTTGTGAGGTTAGCCTAGAAGCTGCCTAAGATTATCCTCCCTTCCATACAGGCAAGAGATTCCTAAAACCATTTGAAGTGCTAAATCCAGTTATCCTTAAGACAAGATCTTCCAGTGACCTAATCACAACTTGCTTAAGTTACTTTAAGTTAGGTTTCTGTTACAGCAATCAAAGGAATCCTTAATAAATGGAGCCTTCTGACTGATAACATAAAATTTTGCTCAAACATCTTGAAGGGAAAGAGTTAATATAGCATGTATATTATATGAAACAGCTCATTTGTGCTTAAGAATGATTAGCTTCAATCTGTGGGGAAAAATATGGCAGATTTCCTTTTTATTTCAATCAACTAAAAATATGACACTGATATTTAATCCAGAACTGAACACAATAGCTACGAAATACTAGTTGGTCAATTTTTAAAGTTATCATGCTATTATGTTTTTAATCTACACAAATAAAATATGGATCTACTAAGTTCATTCTAGTTGTAAAAGTTTTGAGCAACAAAGAAATAGAGTAGAACACAAAAGTTCTCTGTCAATTCCCATTAATTCCTACTTTTCTTTACAGAAGAAACCAGTGCTAATAGTTTAGGATATATTATCGTAGCCATTAATATAATCATTTGTATCTCAATAAGTCTTCATTTATTAATATATATTTAAACATGATATGCATTGCATTTTATATATTTTTTCTCAGAGGTAGACTTCACGTTGGGATGTGTGGTTACGTGGTGGCAGTTAGATAGGTGTTAACATCCTCAAATAGCAAAAAAAAAAAAAAAAAAAAAAAGAGATTTTGAGTGTTGATAGTTTTTAGCTTATTTCCTTCCTGGGTAAAGTTACTATCTGTTTCTCCTCTCTATTTCTGTTGTGGAGAAAGAGATTTACTTCTGCCTTTTTTTTTCCTGATGTGTCACAACAAAATTAGAAATATTCGACACTGTGATAATTTTTGGGTTATTTTATTCCTGGTAAAGTTACTATTTGTTTCTCATCTCTAGTTCTGTTGTGGAGAATGAAATTTACTTCTGCCTTTTTTGTGTGTGTGCATTCTTTTTTCTGATGTATCACAACAAAATTAAAAATATTAGGCACTCCCTTTCTTTAGAGATGACATCTCAAGTTTATTCTGGGCACAAATAACAACGCTGCCACTAACAACATTTTTTGCATATGGGGTAATGAGAGTGGAAGTGTAATAGGAAAATGGCCATACATGGTTCTGAAAGTAAATGCTTAATCACTGCTTAACATCTATTTGTTTTCAGTTTGGAACCTTGCTATGTCTCTCCATGAAATACTGTCGCTTCTTTCAGAAAATGAATAAAATCTCATACACAAAGGAATTTTGAAATCGGGGAAATAAACACATGAATAAAAAAAGACCAGTAGTTAGAGGGTACAAATTTGCATTAAGGGTTCTAAGTTCTTTGCATTGTTTAGGACTTACACACAGATATATACACAGACATTATTTTAAATAGCTTCAAAAAATCATAATAAAATTTAGAAAATATGTTGAAATTAATAAAAATTTAACATATAAAACAATGAGATATAGCTAAAGTCATGCTTGGAGGTAAATATATAGCCTTAAATTCATATATTAGACAAGAAGAAAGATTGGAATTTAATAATCTAAATAGTCATTTCAATAATTTGGAAAATACAACAGTTAAGCCAAAATCCAGTAAAAATAAGATTTTTATTTTATAATTTTTATTAACAATAAAAATTAAGATCAGAAGCTACTGAACTACAAAACATACGCCAAGGAGTTTTAAAATTCAGAAGTTTTTTCTTTAAAAATAATTGATAATTACCTTTACTTAATAAAGTAATTATCAAGATAAAGAAAAAAAGATAAAATGACAATTTTAGGAATGTGACTGATCATGCAGACATTAAAAGATGAGAGGATATTAACAACATTGGGAATACATTTAAACATTCAGATAAAATTGATAAATATCTTGAAAACTGTACTATACATGACTGACACAAGCACACAGAATGTCTGAATAGTTTTCTATCTATTAAAAATCAATTCTGTAATTTGAAGTTTTCTACCACCAAAACTCCAGGCTTAGATGACTTCACCAGTGAATTATTACAGACCACTAAGGAAAGAAAATGACACCAATATTAACCTAAACATTTTATGATAATAAAAAAAAATTAAGGACTTACTTTGTAATTAAAGTATGATGCCAAAATCTGACGAAAACATTACAAGAAAAGAAAAGAACATGCAAATATCTTTTAGGAACATGGAAGCAGAAATCCAAAATATATTAGCAAGTCAAATTAAATGATATATGAAAAGGTCAATATATCATAATCAAGTTTATAATAGAAATGAAAAGTTGATTTAACATTAGAAAATTAATGTAAGTCATTATATTAAGAGTAAGGAAAAAATGTAAGAATCTCAATAGATGCAGAAAATTTATGGGATGCAATTCAACATTCATTCATGAGCCAAATACTTAGCCACTAGAATTTCAATGGCAATTTATTAATATTTAAAAGAGTTTCTCCATAAACTTAAATATTTTTAACGATAAAATATTGAATTTTTTGTGGAATTGGCATTAGGCAAAGAGGCAAACTGTAAACTCTGTAATAATGTGAGAAAGGAGAAATGAAAAGTAAGGATTGCAAAAAGAAATAATACAGTTATTATTCACAGATGACATGGTTGTGTATTTAAAATCTGAATAAATCTGCATAAAAGATTATTAGAATTAATAGATAAATTGAGACTGCTAGCCACAAGGTCAATATACAAAAATCAATTGCATTTTATATACTAGCAACAGTTTAAAACAATGAAACAAATGGAGGAGTATAGCCTATTCATAGATTGGAAGACTGTTAAAGGAAAGGAGTCCAGAGTCAGACCCGAAGAGAGGGTTCTTACATCTCATGCAAGAAAGAACTCAGGATGAGTCCATAGAGTAAAATGAAAGCAAGTTTATTTGGAAAGTAAAGGAATAGAAGAATGGCTACTCCACAGACAGAGCAGCCCTGAGGGCTGCTGGTTGCCCATTTGTATGGTTATTTCTTGAAGATATGCTAAACAAGGGGTGGATTATTCCTGCCTTCCCTTTCTAGACCATATAGAGAAACTTCCTGATGTTGCCATAGCATTTGTAAACTGTCGTGGCACTGGTGGGAGTGCAGCAGTGAGGACAACTAGAGGTCACTCTCATGGCCATCTTGGTTTAGGTGGGTTTTAGCTGGCTTCTTTTCTGCAAGCTGTTTTATCAGCATGGTCTTTATGACCTGTATCTTGTGCTGACCTCCTATCTCATCCTGTGACTTAGAATGCCTTAACTGCCTGGGAATGCAGCCAAGTAAGTCTCAGCCTCATTTTACCCAGCTCCTACTTAAGATGGAGTTGCTCTGGTTCACATGCCTCTGGCATTTCCCTTCTCCCTTTTATAAGAGAACCCTTAATCTTAAGGGTTGCAGAGGGGCAAAGATCCGTCTTCTGTAACTTCTTCAGGCGGAATAGGGGCAATGATATTCCTGCCTAACTATTAGAGTCTCTTGTATTTAGGGTAGAGAGAAACTCAGTCAGAAAGCATCAGTATAGTGAGGGTCAGTCATGACTCGAGTTCCGACAAAAGGTGGTATCTGGAAGATAAGGATTGCAAAAAGAAATAATACAGTTTTTATTCACAGACAACATGGTTCAGTATGTAAAAATCTTTAAAAATATGCATAAAAGATTATTAGAATTAATAGATGAATTAAGTGAGACTGCTAGCCACAAGGTCCATATATAAAAATCAATTGCATTTTATACCCTAGCAGTAGTTTTAAAAATAAAATAATGGAGGAGTATAGCCTATTCATAGATTAGAAGACTATATATTTTAATGATGTCAGTTCTTCTAAACTTCTTGGTCATATTCATCCAATCCCCATCAAAATTCTATTAGGTTTTTGTGAAAATTAACAAGATAATTTTCAAATCTATTTGGATAAATAGAGCACCAGAAATAATATAAGTGAAGGATGAACCAACAGGTATCAAGACTCATTATATAGCTACAGTAAAGATGAGAGTGTGGGATTGAGGTGAAGATAGTCAAATAAATCATTTGAACAGTCTAGAGTTGTGAAATAGACAACACATATCTGGACAGTTGATATATGTTAAAGATGGCTCTAAAGAGCATGCATAAAGGACCATATTTTAAATAAATATGTTGACAACACTGTGGAGAAAAGTGAACCCATCTACACTGTTGGTGGGAATGTAAGCTGATGTAGCTTCTATGGAAAACAATATGGGAGATTCCATTAAAAATTAAAAATAGAGTTGCCATTTGATCCTGTAATTCCTCTTTGGCATATATATGCCAAAAAATTGAAATCTGGATCACAAAAAGATGTCTGCAATCCTATGTTCATTGAAGCATTATTTGCAATAGCCAAGATTATTAAAACACCTAAATGTTCATTAATGGATGAATGTATAATGAAACTGTGGTTGATACATACAGTGGAGTATAATTTGGCCTTAAAAAAGGAGGAAATATTGACATTTGTGACAATATGGATGAACCTGGAGGACATTTTGCTAAGTGAAATATGTCAGACACAGAAAGACAAGTACTGCATGATCTCACCTATGTGTGGTATATGAAACAGTCAAATCCAGAGAAGTAGAGAGGAGAATGGTGGTTTCCAGGTGCTAGCAGGATGGGAAAATGAGGCAAAGTTTATCAAAGAAGACAAAGTTGCAGTTATGCAAAATAAAAAATTCTAGAGATCTACTGTGCAGCATAGGGCCTGTGATTAATAATAATATATTGTATTCATTAAAAATTGCTAAGAGCATAGATCTCATATTGAGTGCTCTTATCACAAAAGGGGGAAAAATAAAAAAAAATTTAAATGGGGGAAACTTGTGGAAGTGGTGGTTGAATTTATTGCATTGATTGTGGTTATGGTTTTAAAGGTGTATAGTTATCTCTAAATACATCAAGTTGCATATGTTAAATATCTAAGCCTCATATATGTCAATATTATTTAATAAAGTAGTTTAAAAACATGAATATTGGACTCTCACACAATACACAATAAAGCAATCCTAGGTTTACTATATGTACATAGCAAAGTTAAAACAATGAAAATTCTAGTAGTATCATAGGAGAATATCTTTTTATTATCTTGAAGTAAATAAATATTTTATAAACAAGACAAAATAATGCTGACTATAAAAGAAACAGCTACTTTAGACCCCACTAGTAAAAATGCATTGTTCAACAAGAGTTAAAAAAAAAAGCTAAACTAAATTACAGAGTGGGAGGAGATAGTTGTAAACAATGTAATGGAAAAAAATATATCAAAAACATACAAACAATGACTGTAACTAAATAAGAAATAGACAAACAATCCAAATTAAAAAAAATAATCAAAAAGCATCAGCAGGCACTCCACAAAAGTACATAGCTAAATGGATAATAAATATGAAAAGTATATGATTTCAACGGTTATCAGGAATATGTCACAATTAGATACCACTACAAAATTATCATAATGGTTAAAATTAAAAATGCCCATAGTGCTGAAATAGTGTTCTCATGTATTTTTGGTCTTTCTCGTGTTTTTAAGTTACTTTTAATTGGTACAAAATAATTTTCCAGAAGATAAAGTGTGATTTATTGATAGCTGTATACAACGTGTCATGATCAACTTAGGATAATTAACATATATATCACCTCAAACATGTATTACTTCTTTGTGTTGGGAACATTCAAAATCCTCTTTTCTTGCTATTAGAAAATATAGAATAAATTATTGTTAATTATAGTCACCATACTTGTCAATTTTTGCTTTTTTGCAATTGTTATTTGTGTCTTTGTCATGAAATCTTTGCCCGTTCCTATGTCCAGGATGGTATTGCCTAGGCTGTCTTCCAGGGTTTTTATAGCTTTGGGTTTTACATTTAAGTCTTTAATTCATTTTGAGTTGATCTTTGTGTATGGTTTAAGGAAGGGGTCTAGCTTCAATATTCTGCATATGGCTAGCCATTTATTCCTGCACCATTTATTGACTAGGGAATCTTTTCACCATTGCTTGTTTTGGGGGTCTGATTAAACTTACCATCTTTGGCACAGCAAAATAAACCATCAACAGAATAAACAGACAATCTACAGAATGGGAGAAATTATTTGCAAACTGTGCATCTGACAAAGGTCTAATATCCAGCATCTATAAGGAACTTAAACAAATTTATAAGAGAAAAGCAAACAACCCCATTAAAAAGTGGGCAAAGGACATGAACAGACACTTTTCAAAAGAAGACATACATGCAGCAAACAAGCATATATAAAAAAGCTCAATATCACTGATTATTACAGAAATGCAAATCAAAACCACAATGAGATACCATCTAACACCAAGCGGAATGGCTATTACTAAAAGCCAAATAATAACAGATTCTGGTTAGGTTTTGGAGAAAAAGGATCACTTATACAATCTTGGTGGGAGTGTAAATTAGTTCAACCACTGTGGAAAGCAGTATGGCAATTCCTCAAAGAGCTAAAACCAAAACTACAATTTGACCTAGCAATCCCACTGCTGGGTATATACCCAGAGAAATATAAATTATCCTACCATAAAGACATGCACACGAATGTTCATTGCAGAACTATTCACAGTAGTGGAATCAACTTAAATGCCTATCAGCGACAGATTAGATAAAGAAAACATGGCACATATACACCATGGAATACTATGCAGCCATGAAAGAGAACAAGATCATGTCTTTTGTGGGAACATGAATGGAGCTGGAGGCTATTATCCTTAGCAAAATAACATAGGAACAGAAAACCAAATACTGTATATTCTCACTTATAAATGGGAGCTAAATAATAAGAACTTATGAACACAAAGAAGAAAACAATAGATAATGGGGTCTACTTGAAGGGGGAGAGTGGGAGGAGAGAGAGGAGCAGAAAAGATAACTATTTGGTACAGGGTTTAATACCTGAGCAATTAAGTAATATGTACAACAAACTCCTGTAACTTGTGTTCACCTATGTAACAAACCTTCACATGTACCTCCAAACCTAAAATAAACGTTAAAAAATGAAAAAAAAAATAGTCTCCCTACAGTGCTCTAGAACACTAGAATTTATTCCTTTTACCTAGTTGTAACTTCCTATTTGTTAAACAACCTATCTCTATCACCCTCATTCCCTACTCTTCCCAGCCTCTAGTCACCACTGTTCTGTTCTCTACATCTGTGACATCAACTTATTTAGCTTCCACATATGAGTGAAAACATGTGGTATTTATCTTTCTGTGCCTGGCTTACTTCACTTAACATTGTCCTCCAGGCACATCTATTTTGCCAAAAATTGCAGGTTTTCATTTTTTATGGATGAATAGTATTCCATTGTGTATATATTCCACATTTTCTTTAATTTGTTAATCTGTTGATGAACACTTAGTTTGATTACATGGCTATTGGGAATAGTGCTGCAATAAACATGACAATGTAGATATCTCTTTGACATACTGATTTCCTCTCTTTGGATATAAACTCAACAGTGGGATTGATGGATAATATGGTAGTTCTATTTTTAGTTTTTGAGAAACCTCCATGTTGCTTCCTGTAATGGATGTACTAATTTACATTTCTACCAACAGTGTATAAGAGTTCCCTTTACTCCACATCCTCAGCAGCATCGATTTTTTTTTTTGTCTTTTTGATAATAGCCATTCCAACTAGGGTGAGATCATATCTCACTGTGGTTTTTATTTGCATTTCCCTGGTGATTAGTGATGCTGAGCATTTTTCAACTATTCCTTTGCCATTTTCAGATCTTCCTTTAATAAATTTCTATTTAGATCATTTATACCCATTGTAGAATCAGATTTTTATTATTTTACTGTTGTTCCAGATTCTTTGGTATTCTGGATATTAATTTTATTTCAGATGAAGAGTTTGTAAACATTTTCTCCCATTCTTTGTGTTGTCTCCTCACTCCGTTGTTTCCTTTGCTGTGCCAAAGGTTTTTAGTCTCACATAATCCTATTTGTCTATTTTTATATTTGTTGCCTGTGGTTTTGAAGTCTTATCTGTAAAATCTTTGCCCTGACCAATGTCTTGAAGCATTTCCTCTATGTTTTCTTCTAGTACTCTCACAGACTTGGGTCTTACATTCAGGTTTTTAATCCATTTTGAGTTCATTTTTGTATATGTTAAGAGAAAGGGGTGCAGTTTCAATCTTTTGCATATGGCTATCTAGTTTTTCCAGCAGTTTTTATTAAAGAGAGTGTCCTTTTCTCAGTGTAGGTTCTTGGTGCCCTTGTTGAAAATGAGATGGTTGCAAATATGTGGATTTATTTCTGGGTTTTCTATTATCTTTCATTGGTGTATGTGTCTATTTTTAATGACAGTACCATGTTGTTGGTTACTATGGCTTTGTAGAATATTTTGAAATTAGGTAATGTGGTGCCTGTAGCTTTGTTCTATTTGCTCAGATAGGCATTGGCTTTCGGGTTTTTTTGGTTCTATGGAAATTTTATCGTTGCTTTTTCTTGTAAGAATGTCATTGGTATTTTGATAGGCATTGCATTAAATTTGTGGGTCACTTTGGGTATTATGGTCATTTTAACAACATTAATTCTTCCAATCCATAAATATGGGATGCCTTTTCATTTTTCTCTTCAATTTATTTCATGAAAATTATATAATTTTCATTGAGTAGATCTTTTACATCATTTGTTAAATTTATTCCTAGATATGTTATTATTTTTAGTTGGCTGTTTTAAATGGAATTATTTTCTTGACATTTCTTTTCCAGCTACTTCTCTATGCGTGTATAAAAATTTTACCAATTTTTGTATGTTGATTTTATGTCTAGCAACTTTACTGATGCTGTTTATCAGTTCTAAGAGTGTTTTGGTGGAATCTTTAGGATTTTCTCTTTATAAGATCATGTCATCTGCAAATAAGTACTTTTTAAAGTTCTTACACTTATGTGTATACCATTGATGTTACCACTGATACCACATGAATAGCACTGATACCATGTGAATACCATTGATGTTAGGTTGTTAAATTAAAATTGTCATAACTTTTTTATTTGGGCATTTACTGCTATAAATTTCCCTCTTAACATTGTCTTAGATGTGTCACAGAGATTCTGGTATATTGTATTTTTTTTCACATTAGGTTCAAATAATTTCTTGATTTCTGTCTAAATTTCATTATTTACCCAGAAGTCATTCAAAATCAGCTTATCCAACTTCCATATTATGTATGATTTCGAGTGAATTTCTTAGTTTTAATTTCTAATTTATTGAGCATTGGTCCTAGAGAGTGGTTATTATGATTTCAGTTATTTTGTATTTACTGAAGAGTATTTCTTGTTTGATTATGTTGTTGAATTTAAAGTATGTGCCATGAGATGATAAGAAGAATGTATGTATTATGTTGCGTTTTGGTGGAGCATTTTGCGGATATCTATCTGATCCATTTGATCCAGTACTGTGTTTAGGTCCCGAATATTTTTGTTAATTTTCTGTTTTCTGCCTTGATAATCTGTCTAATACTGTCAGTGGGATTTTGAAGTATCCCACTATTATTATGTGGTAGCCTAAGTTTCTGTGAGGTCACTAAGAACTTGCTTTACAAATCTGCATACTCCTGTGTTTGGTGCATATATATTTAGGATAGTTAGGTCTTCTTGTTGAATTGAAACTTTTACCATTATGTAATGTCGTTTGTTATCTTTTTTGAACTTTGTTGGTTTAAAGTCAGTTTTGTCTGATATTAGGATTGCAACTCCTGCTTTTTTCTGTTTTCTGTTGGCTTGGTAGGTTTTTCTCTATCCCTTTATTTTGAGCCTGTGGGTGCCATTACAGTTGAGATGAGTCTCTTGAATAGAGCATAACATTGGATCTTGGTTCTTTATCCATCTTGCCACTCTGCACCTTTTAATTAGGGCATTTAGCCTGTTTACATTCAAGGTTAGTATTTATATGTGTGGATTTGAACCTGTCATCATTATGATAGCTGGTTGTTATGCAGCTATCCTGTCATCATTATGATAGCTGGTTGTTATGCAGAAGTATTTGTGTGGTTGCTTTAGTGTCATTGATCTGTGTATTTAAGTGTGCTTTTGCAATGGCTGGAATGATCTTTCTTTTCCATGTTTAGTGATTCCTTCAAGAGCTCTTGAAAGACTGGTCTGGTGGTAATGAATTCCCTCAGCATTTGCTTGTCTAAAAAGGATTGTATTGCTTCTTTGTTTATGAATCTTAGTTGGGCCAGATATAAAATTCTTGATTAGAATTTTTTTTAAATAATGTTGAATATTAGGCCTCAATCTTTTCTGGCTTATAGGGTTTCTGCTGAGAGGTCTGCCATTATTCTGATAGGCTTCCTTTCATAAGTAACCTGACCTTTCTCTCTAGCTGCCTTTGAATTTTTTTCTTTTATTTCAACCTTGAAGAATCTGATGATTATGGGTCTTTGGGATAATCTTCTTGCGGAGCATCTTAATAGGGTTCTCTGCATTTCCTGAGTTTGAATGTTGGCCTCTCTAGCTAGGTCAGTGAAGTTCTCATGGGTGATACCCTGAAATGTGTTTTCCAAATTGCTTCCATTATCCTTGTCTTTTTCGGGGACTCTAAACAGTAATTTATTTGGATCTTTACATAATGCCATATTTTGCAGAGGTTTTGTTCATTCATTTTCACTCTTTTACTCCATTCTTGTCTGACCATCTTATTTCAGGAAACAATTCTTCAAGTTCGGAGATTCTTTCTTCAGCTATATCTATTCTGCTATTAATACTCGTGATTGCATTATGGATTTTTTTAGTGTGATTTTCAGCTCTATCATGTTGGTTATGTTCTTCTCGACACTGGTTATTTTGTCTGTCAGCTCCTATATTGTTTTATTGTGATTCTTACCTTCCTTAGATTGGGTTTCAATGTACTTCTGCATCTCAATGATCTTCATTCTTGACCACATTCTGAATTCTATTTCTGTCATTTTAGCCATCTCTGCCCAGTTCAGAACCTTTGTTGGAGAGGCAGTGTAGTCATTTAGAGGACATATGGCACTCTGGCTTTTTAAGTTATTAGAGTTCTAATGCTGGTTGTTTCTCATCTTTTGGGCTAATGTTCTTTCAATCTTTGATGTTGCTTTTTTTTATTCTATTCTATTTGATGACCTTGAGGGTTTGATTGTGATATAAGGTGGGTTCAGTTGACTGGCTTTATTTCTGGAAGATATTAGTCGGGGGGCAAGCCTCAGTTCACAACTCCTGGACCATATACTCTAACTCTGGCAGACTCGCATCAGGCCCCAACTTTGTTCTCTTTTTCTTTGATGTTAGAAACTTACTACACTGATAGCAGGGGTTGGGGTGATAAGGTGCTCTCAGACTGCTGGTCACTACACTCTGAGGGGTAGTGCCAGACAAACCATTTTGTAGAGTGATGGCAGCAGGATCAATTCTTCCTCACATGTACTAGCAGCAGCAGCAGTGACAGTGTTGTGGGATGCATGCTTATTCATTGTGGCAAGGTACTAGCAGGTGCTGGGGTGCCTGCCTTTATGTGAGTGTTCACAGCAGTTGCAGAGACAGCAAGGCTTGGGGCCCCCACACTGGCAACTTTGTACATGGTTGTGCTTGTGGTGGTGTTAGCATGGGGGCAGGGTGCTGATGGGTGCAGGTTCGTGTGTGCCCTGTGTGGCTGCCCAGGGTGGGGAAGAGTCCAGTTTTCTCTATGCCTGGTTTCACTCTAGGGGCACTGTTGGTGCTGGGGCAGTTCACCAGAAGGAGCAGGGCTGGTGGGCTTGATACCAGCCAATGCTCTGGCTTCTGTGGTGGTACAGCAAAGTAGGGGTGGTGGAATGCACTCCTGCCAGCAGTAAAGTCAGGAGAGGGTGCACACACACACATGCCCTGGCAGGGCAGGGAAGGCAAAATACACACACACACACACACACACACACACACTCACACACACACATACACACATGCAAAGCCATATGGGGGTGGCCATGGGCTCCAGGAAAGCTGCAGTGAGAGGGAAAGAGTGGGTGTGCTAGTGTGTAGCCATGGGGGCTGCCCTGCTGGAGCTCTCTGTTGGTCATGCAGTAAGCCAGCACAGGAGCTATGATGTGGGTCCCCAGGTCACCCAAGGTGACACTTCAAGCAAGCACAGCCAGGCTGGGTTTCTGGGAGACACCAGCAGACCACTGGATGTTAAGGTCAGACTATTCTTGTCTGGTGGGCAAGACTGCTCTGCAGAGTTCTGGTCTGACAGTTTTCCTAGGGCTAAATTATGGGAGCCAGGATAGATGTCTCTGGCCATGCTTCACTACAGAGACTCCTAGACCAAATTATCTGGGTTCCACATCTGCTGGCATGCTGCCCCTACCACTTCTCTAAGCAGCTGTCCTTTCCAATTCAAGTGTCCTTGATGGTCGAGAGGTTTCCTCCTGCCAGGATTCCAGATATCCATGGTGAGAGTGGCTTGCTTTTTGTCCATTCAACTCACCCATTTCCCTGGATTCAATGGCAGTCAGAAACAAATCCTGGTGTTTGGTAGCCCTGTGCAGCGTTCCCAGCTTTCTTCCTCTTCAGCCTAGCTTCTGTCTTCCCTCTGCCTAACTTTAGTGCTTTCCCCTGTGAAGATCTGTCAGGAGTGCACCAGTCATCACGATCTCTCAGTGCCAGCTGTTGTCACACATAGATGCATCTAGTTGGCCATCTTGCTTTAATCCTAGTTTATTTTTATTGTAGGTAATCTTAAAAAAATTATCTTTCTCTGGAAGTGTTAAGATTTTCAGTTTATCATTGTTGATTTTAAATGGTTCACTTTTTAGAATACTTTCTTTTCTTTTACTCTGCCCAACATGAATGACTGCCTTTATTCTAGAAACTTCACTTTCAGAAACTCCCTTCAAATGGCAGTTGGAACTTTTGTATTTATCTTACACATGTCTTAACTTGTCTTATATATTACATCTTATGGTTTCCTTGCTCAGTTTACTGTGGAATATTTAAAATATTATTTGCCAACAAACTGATTCACTTTTTAGCTGTGTCTATTCTATTAACCCCATCCAATAAGCTTATAATTTTGAATATTTCCTTTCCTTTCAAGATATTATTTTTATGTGTTTGTAATCCAAGTTTCTCTAAGAATGTTCAACATAATTATTTTGAAAATGTTTATTAACTTACTTTCTCTCCAATGTTTAATTTTTTGACTCATTCAATATAAGACCTCTCTTTCTCATAATGTTTGTTTTTCAGAAATAATTGGAGGTTATCAATTCTGTGCAAATATTTGTATTTGACAATTCTTTTTTACTTGTATTTTAATGATGTTTTTTGTTATTTTTAAACTGCAGTTTACCTTCAGTGTTTATATAGACACAGACCCTGTTTTCTAGTGAAATATGTCAGTAACTTACTTTCTGGCTATATGTACTCTGAACTTGTAAGTCAGTAGTTTTATGGAATATTGCTGTGTATTTCTGTTCCAAGTATTCACACTTATTTTTTGGCTATGAAAACACACACATGCACACACACACAAACTCACACACATGGTTGTAGCTCAGGCTGCCATAAAAAGTGCCATGTATTGTGTTACTGAAATATAAAGATTTATTTTCTCACAATTTTAGAAGCTGAAAATATGAGATTAGAGTGCCAGCAAGTTCTGGTAAGTGCTCTCTTGCTGGATTGTTAATGGCTGTCTTCTCGTTGTTCTCACATGGCATTTTCTTGGTTTATATATTTGGAGAGATAGAGAGACAGAGAGAGAGAAAGAGAAACTTTCTCTTCTTATAAGACCATAAATCCTATTAACTTAGGACCCCATTTTTATGAACTCATTGAACATTAATTACCTCCACAAACCCCAATTTCCAAGTACAGTCACTTGGCAGTGAGGGCTTCAATATATGAGTTTTGGAGGGGTCACAATTCACAATTCACAACACACATACACTATAATGTATTATTTTCAGAATAAACATGGAAGGATGCAGAGAGTTATGGACATTGCTGTTCCAAATGCTGTTTCCTATTTAATTTTCCTGATGGACTCTTTTCTATTTATTTCACATATTGACTCTGAAGAACTAGCTTCCTTAAAACCTGTTCTTATTTATACTGTTTGGAATTTAGATGGTACTTCCCTGTATAACAGTTTCTTTACAGATCTCATCTACTTTCAATTTGTTGTGTATTTTTCAAACTGTCAAATCTGCTGTTAATTTATTGTTGCTTTCATACACGGTTACTCTTTATTTGCATGCACTAATTTTGCCAGCATGACTCAGTTAGATGATTTAACTGATGGCTAATTGAAAAATAATCTGACAGAGAATATGTCATTTTCAAAATTAGTTGTTATAGCTTAGAATAAAATCATCTGGGGACCCCTGGGGGTGACAATAACAAGATAAAAGGGATCATATAGTCATTTAGATCATATGGTTTTCATTTTTTAGAAAAAAATAGTGAAAGTTAAGATGGCCAATTAGATGCAGTAAGAAAAAAACATCTTTCCCCAAGAGAACAGGCCATTGGGAAGACTGGCTCACTCAAAACAGACCACCTTCAGTTGGAAAGCATTGAGAGTATATGGAAAGAGGACACAGACAATGGGCTGAAGGGAGAGAAAGTTGGGAACTGTTCACAAGGATACTAAGCACCAGGACTCATTTCTGGCCCCCCATGCCTCCTGGGGAAGGGGTAAGTTAAACAGGTGAGCCATGGCCCAGTCTTGCAACAGCACTCTGGAATCCTAGCTCTAGGAGACACAACGACCCCCACAGACAATTGAGATGTCAGAGAGAGCTTTCTGGAGAGGGGTCAAAGGCAGGAATACAACCTGTGTGAAGCCCAGAAGATCTGACATGGGAATAGCTGCAGTGGAGTATGCCAGGTACAACTATCCCCAAGGCTCCCCATGCTGCTTTAGGTGGCATTGGACTTTGGTCACTACTGGACTTGAACAGAGCAAGGTAGTCTTACATGTGGAATGGGACAACTTCAATATCAGCATCTCCCTGTCTGTTGGAATATTTTGGGGACCCAGCTTGGCCACAGCTGCTTGTAATGCAGCCTCAGATGCTCAACCAGCATGCTTCCTGGGGGCTGTCATCATTGCTCCTTCACCATCAGACCACATCTAACCATCAGAAAGTTCCAGAACATCAAACATCACTGACACACACCCAACCACTCACAGCATCCACCATCACAGCCTATACCCACTACTTTGCCGGCATACATCTGTACATGCCCCAACCAACTGCAGTGCTGGCACATGTGTGTGAGCAGACTTTGTCTCCCCTCCCCCACAGGTGCATGTGTATACATACACTCCACTAACATACTGTTGCTGGCACAAGCACATGACCAGATGCTGCTGCTCCACCCCTGCTGGCTTCTCAACTAGGCACCCTACCACTCTGAAAACTGTGCACCTCACTGCACTGCTGCTGCTGGCACATGCCTGAAGATGAGACCCTGCTGCCACTGCCCTGATGAAGTACTTCGGCTGGCACTTTCACTGGACTGGTATGGTCTGCAAACTGGAAAAAAATTTGGGCCTTCCAGTGCAGCAGCTTCCTAAGCTTAAGGGGCCATAGAACAAAGCTGGTGCTCCAGTATGAGTATTCCAGGAATATAGCAAACATCCCATCTCAGGAGTCATGAGTTGTCTTGCCCCCTTAAATTCGTGGAAATGAAGCCAGTCAACTGAACCCATCTTATAACACAACTAAAACTTCTAAGGCATCAAGGAATATAAAATCAAAAACCCAACTGAAAGGACAGCAATAATTGAAGAAACATCAGCCCACACATATGAAAAATAGCCAGAGTGCAAAAACTCTGGCAACTCAAAAAAGCCAGAATGTTTTCTTACTGCCAAATGACTGTAGTGGTTCTCCAGACATGGTTATTAACCAGGCTGAAATGACTGAAATGTCAGACATATAATTCATAATCTGTATAGAAATGAAGATCAAGATTCAGGATAAAGTTGAAACAAAATCCAAGGAATCTAAGTAACCCAATAGAAAGATACAAGGACCAAGCCAAATGCCCATCAGTGATAGACTGGAGAAAGAAAGAAAGAAAATGTGGCACATATACACCATGGAATACTATGCAGCCATAAAAAAGGATGATTTCATGTCCTTTGCAGGGACATGGGCAAAGCTGGAAATCATCACTCTCAGCAAACTAACCCAGGGACAGAAAACCAAATACTGCATGTTCTTACTCATAAGTGGGAGTTGAACAATGAGAACACATGAACACAGGGATGGGAATATCACACAATGGGGCCAGTTGGGGGCTAGGCGTCTAGGGTAGGGAGAGTATTAGGAGAAATACCTAATGTAGATGAAAGGCTGATGGGTGCAGCAAACCACCATGGCACATGTATACCTATGTAACAAGCCTGCACATTCTGCACATGTATCCTAGAACTTAAAGTATATATATAAAAAAGAAATAGCCATTTTAAGAAAGAACCAAACTGATGGGATAGAGCTAAATATCTTAGTACAATAATTTCATAATACAATCACAATTATTAACAGTAGAAAAGACCAAGTTGAGCAATGATTCTCAAAGTTTAAGTACTTGTTCTTCAAATGAACTCAGGCAGAAAAAATAAATAAAAAATAATAAACAAAACATTTGAGAAATAGGGGATTATATTGAGCAATTGAATATGTGACTCATTGGCATCCCTGACACAGATGGGGAGAAAACAAGAAACTTGGAAAACAAGTTTGAGATTTTTTTTAATAAAAATTACATCAACCTTGTCGTAGAGACCAACAATCAAATTCAGGAAATGCAGAGAACACCTGCAAGATACTATACAAGGTGACCATACATAAGGCACACAGTTATTAGATTCTCCAAGGTCAATATAAATGGAAACATATTAAAGGCAGCTAGAGAGAAGGAGCAGATCACCTACAAAGGGAGCCCCATCAGGCTAACAGTGGACCTTTCAGCCAGAAACCCTACAAGCTGCAAAAGATTGGGGGCCTATATTCAGCATTTCTAAAGAAAAGAAATTCTAGCCAAGAATTTAATATTCAGCCAAACTAAGCTTTATAAGCAAAAAAGAAAGAAGATTTCTTTCCATTCTTTCAAGCAAATGCTAAGAAAATTTGCTACCAATGGATGTGCCTTATGAGAGTTCCTTAAGGCCAGGCACAGTGGCTTATGCCTCTAATCCCAGCACTTTGGGAGGTCAAGGTGGGCAGATCACCTTAGGTCAGCAGTTCGAGACCAGCCTGGACAACATGGTGAAACCTTGTCTCTACTAAAAATACAAAAATTAGCCAAGTGTGGTGGACTGTGCCTGTAATTCCAGCTACTCAGGAAGCTGAGGCGGGAGAACTGCTTGAACCAACTGGGAGGCAGAGGTTGCATTGAGCCAAGATTGCAACACTGCACTCCACCCTGGGCAAGAAGAGCGAAATTCTGTCTCAAAAAAAAAAAAAAAAAAAAAGTGTTCCTTAAGAGAGTGCTAGATATGAAAATAAAATACTATTACTGACCACCACAAAAACATACCTAATGAACTAATGACACTATAAAGCAACTACACAACTATGTCTGTATAATAACTGGTAACAACATGATGACAGAATCAAATACACACTTACCAAGAACATTATTGAGCTAAGTTCCCCACTTAAAAAACACAGAGTGGAAAGTTGGATAAAGAAGCAAGACCCCAACTGTGTGCTATCTTCAAGATAACTACAAAACAAACTTTGAATGAACAATGATTATAAAAGACAAAGAAGGGCATTACATAATGGTAAATGCTTCAATTAAACAAAAATCCATAACTATCCTAAATATATATGCATGAAACACAGGAGCACCCAAATTCACAAAACAAGTTCTGAGAGAACTATAAAGAGACTTAGACAACCGCACAATAATAGTGGGAGACTTCAACACCACTCTTACAGTACTAATTGAATCACTGGGACAGAAAACTAAAAAATATTTGGGACACAAACTTGACCCTTTACCAAATGGACCTAACACACATCTAGAGACTCTCCACCCTACAACAACTGAATCCACATTCTTCTCATCTGCACATGGTGCACACTCTAAAATCAACCACATAATCAGCCATAAATCATTTCTCAGAAAATTTTAAAAGGCCAAAATAATATCAACTACACTCTCACATTATGGCTCAATAAAAATAGAAATCAATAGTAAGAAGATTGCTCAAAACCATACAATCACATGGAAACAAAACAACCTTCCTGTGAATGACTTTTGGGTGAACAATAAAATTAAAGCAGAAATCAAGAAATTTTTTGCAAGTAAAGAAAACAAAGATACAGCATATCAGAATCTCTGGAACACAGCTAAGACAGCATTCAGTGGAAAGTTTATAGCACCAAATGCCCACATCAAATAGTTAAAAATATCTCAAATTAACAACCAAATAGCACACCTAGTGGAACTAGAAAAACAAGAGTCAACCAATGCCAAAGCTAGCAGAAGACAAGAAGTACCCAAAATCAGAACGAATTGAGTAAAATTGAGATGAACAAAATGATAAAAAAGATCAAGAAACAACTAAAGTTAGTTGTTGTTTGAAAGAATAAGTAAGATTGATAAACCACTAGTTACTTTAATAAAGAAAAAAAGAGAATATCCATATAAACACAATCAGAAATGACCAAGGGGACATTACCATCAACTTTACAGAAATATTTTTAAAAGTCTCAGATAGTATTATAAATACCTCTATGCACACAAACTAGAAAACATACAAGAAATGGATAAATTCCTAGAAACACAACCTC
Organism: Homo sapiens; assembly: GCF_000001405.40. Classification (NCBI taxonomy): domain Eukaryota; kingdom Metazoa; phylum Chordata; class Mammalia; order Primates; family Hominidae; genus Homo; species Homo sapiens. The sequence continues at coordinate 86,967,386 of NC_000023.11, forward strand.
CCATGATTGAACCAGAAAGAAATTGAAATCCTGAACAGAGCAATAACTAGTTCCAAACTTGAATCAATAATAAAACGTTCACCAGCTGAAGAAAGCCTAAGAATGTGATTCACAGCCAAGTTTTACCAGATATATAAGGAAGAGTTGGTTATATTTCTACTGAAAATACTCTAAAAAAAACTGGGGAGATACTCCCCTATAACTTATTTTTTGAGGCCAGTTTCACTCTGACACCAAAACCTGTCAGAGACACAACAGCAAGTAGAAAACATCAGGCTAATATTTTTCATGAGCATAGCTGAAAATATCCTCAAGTAAATACTACTGAAGTGAATTCAGGAGCACCAGAATAACACAAGAATGCTTACTCTCACCATTCCTATTCAATACAATAATTGGAAATTCTAACCAAAGTAATTAGGAAGAAAAGAAAAGAAAATGCAGCCAAATAGTAAGACAGAAAGTCCAACTATCTCTATTTGCAAATGACATGATTTTGTACCTAGAAAACAACATAGTCTCTGCTCAGCTTTCGATATCTGATTAACAACTTCATCAAAGTCTGAGAATGCAAATTATTGTGCAAGTATCATTAGCAATGACAATTTCCAACCTGTGAGCTAAATGAATAATGAAATCACATCCACAATAACTACACAAATATTAAAATACCTAGGAGTATGGCTAACCAGAGAGGTGAAAGATCTTTACAATGATAATTATAAAACACCACTGAGAAAAATCAGAGATGACACAAACAAATGGAAAAATATTGTATGCTCATGGATAGAAAGAATCAATATATTAATGTTAAAATGGCCATACTGCTTAAAGCAATTTACATATTCAATGGCATATCTATCAAAACTACCAATGACATTTTTTACTGAATTAGAAAAAAACCTTCTAAAATTCATTTGGAACAAAGAAAAAAAAAAAAGCCTGAGCAGCCAAAGTAATCCTAAACAAAAATAAAACAAAGTGAAAGGTATCACATTACTCAACTTTAAACTGTGCAACAAGACTACAGTAACCTAAACAACATGGTAGTGGTACAAAAACAGACATATAGATCCTTGGAGCAGAAGAGAGAGCCCAGATATAATGCTACACACCTGCATTCATCTGATCATCACCAAAGTCAACAAAAAGACAATGGTAAAATGACATTCAATAAATGGTGCTGGGATAACTGGCTAGCCATATGCAGAGGATTGTAACTGGACCTCCTCCATTTCACCAGATACAAAAATCAGCTTAGGGGGATTAAATACTTAAATGTAAAACCTAAAACAATAAAATCAGTAGAAGAAAACATAGGCAATACCATTCTGGACATAGGCCCTGGCAAAGATTTTATGACAGGCACCAAAAGAATTTGCAATAAAAGCAGAAATTGACAAATGGGACCTAATTAAACTAAAGAACCTCTGAGCTGCAGATAAAACTATCAACAGAGTAAATAAACAATGTACAGAATGGGAGAACATATTAGCAAACTATGCATCTGACAAAGGTCTAATGTCCAGAATCCATAAATAACTTAAACAAATTAACAAGTAAAAAACAACTGCATTAAAAAGTGGGCAAAGACCATGAACTGACACTTCTCATGTGACCAACATCCATATGAAAAAAAGTTCAAAATCACTAATTATTAAAGAAATGCAAATCAAAACTACAGTGAGATATCTTGTCCTACCAGTCAGAATGGTTATTCTTAAAAAGTCAAAAAATAGCTGATACTTGTAAGGTTTCATAGAAAAGTGTATGCTTATGCACTGTTGACAGGAATGAAAATTAGGTTAATCACTTGAAAAACATTTTGCTGTTTTCTTAATGAACTTAAAACAGAAGTACCTTTGAACTCAGAAATCCTATTATCGAATATATACCCATAGGAATATAAGTCACACTTCCATGAAAACATGTGCATGTGTTTCTTTCTTGCAGCACTCTTCACTATAGCAAAGACCTGGAATCAACCTAAATGCACATCAACCATAGACTGAATAACGTGATTGTGGTACATATACACCATAGAATAATATGCAGCCATAAAAAACAGCATAATAATGTCTTTTGCAGCAACATGAATGGACAAAGAGGCTATTATCCTAAGCAAATTAATGCAAGGAAAAAAAAGCAAATACCACATTTTCTCACTTGTAGGTGGGAGCTAAACCTTGAATAAATGTCGACACAAAAAAAGGGAACAATAGAAAATAGGACCTACTGGAGTTCGCGAGCCAAGATGGCCGAATAGGAACAGCTCCAGTCTACAGCTCCCAGCGTGAGCGACGCAGAAGACGGGTGATTTCTGCATTTCCATCTGAGGTACTGGGTTCATCTCACTAGGGAGTGCCAGACAGTGGGTGCAGGTCAGTGGGTGTGCGCACCATGCGTGAGCCGAAGCAGGGCGAGGCATTGCCTCACTTGGGAAGTGCAAGGGGTCAGGGAGTTCCCTTTCCGAGTCAAAGAAAGGGGTGACGGACTCACCTGGAAAATCAGGTCACTCCCACCCGAATATTGTGCTTCTCGGACCGGCTTAAAAAATGATGCACCACGAGATTATATCCTGCACCTTGCTCGGAGGGTCCTACGCCCACGGAGTCTCGCTGATTGCTAGCACAGCAGTCTGAGATCAAACTGCAAGGCAGCAGCGAGGCTGGGGGAGGGGCGCCCGCCATTGCCCAGGCTTGCTTAGGTAAACAAAGCAGTGGGGAAGCTCGAACTGGGTGGAGCCCACCACAGCTAAAGGAGGCCTGCCTGCCTCTGTAGGCTCCACCTCTGGGGGCAGGGCACAGACAAACAAAAAGACAGCAGTAACCTCTGCAGACTTAAATGTCCCTGTCTGACAGCTTTGAAGAGAGCAGTGGTTCTCCCAGCACGCAGCTGGAGATCTGAGAATGGGCAGACTGCCTCCTCAAGTGGGTCACTGACCCCTGACCCCCGAGCAGCCTAACTGGGAGGCACCCCCCAGCAGGGGCACACTGACACCTCACAGGGCAGGGTATTCCAACAGACCTGCAGCTGAGGGTCCTGTCTGTTAGAAGGAAAACTAACAAACAGAAAGGACATCCACACCAAAAACCCATCTGTACATCACCATCATCAAAGACCAAAAGTAGATAAAACCACAAAGATGGGGAAAAAACAGAACAGAAAAACGGGAAACTCTAAAATGCAGAGTGCCTCTCCTCCTCCAAAGGAACGCAGTTCCTCACCAGCAACGGAACAAAGCTGGATGGAGAATGACTTTGACGAGCTGAGAGAAGAAGGCTTCAGACGATCAAATTACTCTGAGCTACGGGAGGACATTCAAACCAAAGGCAAAGAAGTTGAAAACTTTGAAAAAAATTTAGAAGAATGTATAACTAGAATAACCAATACAGAGAAGTGCTTAAAGGAGCTGATGGAGCTGAAAACCAAGGCTCGAGAACTACGTGAAGAATGCAGAAGCCTCAGGAGCCGATGCGATCAACTGGAAGAAAGGGTATCAGCAATGGAAGATGAAATGAATGAAATGAAGCGAGAAGGGAAGTTTAGAGAAAAAAGAAAAAAAAGAAATGAGCAAAGCCTCCAAGAAATATGGGACTATGTGAAAAGACCAAATCTACATCTGATTGGTGTACCTGAAAGTGATGGGGAGAATGGAACCAAGTTGGAAAACACTCTGCAGGATATTATCCAGGAGAACTTCCCCAATCTAGCAAGGCAGGCCAACGTTCAGATTCAGGAAATACAGAGAACGCCACAAAGATACTCCTCGAGAAGAGCAACTCCAAGACACATAATTGTCAGATTCACCAAAGTTGAAATGAAGGAAGAAAAGTTAAGGGCAGCCAGAGAGAAAGGTCGGGTTACCCTCAACGGGAAGCCCATCAGACTAACAGTGGATCTCTCGGCAGAAACCCTACGAGCCAGAAGAGAGTGGGGGCCAATATTCAACATTCTTAAAGAAAAGAATTTTCAAGCCAGAATTTCATATCCAGCCAAACTAAGCTTCATAAGTGAAGGAGAAATAAAATACTTTACAGACAAGCAAATGTTGAGAGATTTTGTCACCACCAGGCCTGCCCTAAAAGAGCTCCTGAAGGAAGTGCTAAACATGGAAAGGAACAACCGGTACCAGCCGCTGCAAAATCATGCCAAAATGTAAAGACCATCGAGACTAGGAAGAAACTGCATCAACTAACGAGCAAAATCACCAGCTAACATCATAATGACAGGATCAAATTCACACATAACAATATTAACTTTAAATGTAAATGGACTAAATGCTCCAATTAAAAGACACAGACTGGCAAATTGGATAAAGAGTCAAGACCCATCAGTGTGCTGTATTCAGGAAACCCATCTCATGTGCAGAGACACATATAGGCTCAAAATAAAAGGATGGAGGAAGATCTACCAAGCAAATGAAAAACAAAAAAAGGCAGGGGTTGCAATCCTAGTCTCTGATAAAACAGACTTTAAACCAACAAAGATCAAAAGAGACAAAGAAGGGCATTACATAATGGTAAAGGGATCAATTCAACAAGAAAAGCTAACTATCCTAAATATATATGCACCCAATACAGGAGCACCCAGATTCATAAAGCAAGTCCTGAGTGACCTACAAAGAGACTTAGACTCCCACACATTAATAATGGGAGACTTTAACACCCCACTGTCAACATTAGACAGATCAACAAGACAGAAAGTCAACAAGGATACCCAGGAATTGAACTCAGCTCTGCACCAAGCGGACCTAATAGACATCTACAGAACTCTCCACCCCAAATCAACAGAATATACATTGTTTTCAGCACCACAACACACCTATTCCAAAATTGACCACGTACTCGGAATTAAAGCTCTCCTCAGCAAATGTAAAAGAACAGAGATTATAACAAACTATCTCTCAGACCACAGTGCAATCAAACTAGAACTCAGAAATAAGAATCTCACTCAAAACCGCTCAACTACATGGAAACTGCACAACCTGCTCCTGAATGACTACTGGATACATAACGAAATGAAGGCAGAAATAAAGATGTTCTTTGAATCCAACGAGAACAAAGACACAACATACCAGAATCTCTGGGACACATTCAAAACAGTGTGTAGAGGGAAATTTATAGCACTAAATGCCCACAAGAGAAAGCAGGAAAGATCCAAAATTGACACACTAACATCACAATTAAAAGAACTAGAAAAGCAAGAGCTAACACATTCAAAAGCTAGCAGAAGGCAAGAAATAACTAAAATCAGAGCAGAACTGAAGGAAATAGAGACACAAAAAACCCTTCAAAAAATTAATGAATCCAGGAGCTGGTTTTTTGAAAGAATCAACAAAATTGATAGACCACTAGCAAGAATAATAAAGAAAAAAAGAGAGAAGAATCAAATAGACACAATAAAAAATGATAAAGGGGATATCACCACCGATCCCACAGAAATACAAACTACCATCAGAGAATACTACAAACACCTCTATGCAAATAAACTAGAAAATCTAGAAGAAATGGATAAATTCCTCGACACATACTCTCTCCCAAGACTAAACCAGGAAGAAGTTGAATCTCTGAATAGACCAATAACGGGAGCTGAAATTGTGGCAATAATCAATAGTTTACTAACGAAAAAGAGTCCAGGACCAGATGGATTCACAGCCGAATTCTACCAGAGGTACAAGGAGGAACTGGTACCATTCCTTCTGAAACTATTCCAATCAATAGAAAAAGAGGGAATCCTCCCTAACTCATTTTATGAGGCCAGCATCATTCTGATACCAAAGCCAGGCAGAGACACAACCAAAAAAGAGAATTTTAGACCAATATCCTTGATGAACATTGATGCAAAAATCCTCAATAAAATACTGGCAAACTGAATCCAGCAGCACATCAAAAAGCTTATCCACCATGATCAAGTGGGCTTCATCCCTGGGATGCAAGGCTGGTTCAATATACGCAAATCAATAAATGTAATCCAGCATAAAAACAGAGCCAAAGACAAAAACCACATGATTATCTCAATAGATGCAGAAAAGGCCTTTGACAAAATTCAACAACCCTTCATGCTAAAAACTCTCAATAAATTAGGTATTGATGGGACATATTTCAAAATAATAAGAGCTATCTATGACAAACCCACAGCCAATATCATACTAAATGGGCAAAAACTGGAAGCATTCCCTTTGAAAACTGGCACAAGACAGGGATGCCCTCTCTCACCACTCCTATTCAACATAGTGTTGGAAGTTCTGGCTAGGGCAATTAGGAAGGAGAAGGAAATAAAGGGTATTCAATTAGGAAAAGAGGAAGTCAAATTGTCCCTGTTTGCAGACGACATGATTGTATATCTAGAAAACCCCATTGTCTCATCCCAAAATCTCCTTAAGCTGATAAGCAACTTCAGCAAAGTCTCAGGATACAAAAACAATGTACAAAAATCACAAGCCTTCTTATACACCAACAACAGACAAACAGAGATCCAAATAATGAGTGAACTCCCATTCACAATTGCTTCAAAGAGAATAAAATACCTAGGAATCCAACTTACAAGGGATGTGAAGGACCTCTTCAAGGAGAACTACAAACCACTGCTCAAGGAAATAAAAGAGGATACAAAGAAATGGAAGAACATTCCATGCTCATGGGTAGGAAGAATCAATATCATGAAAATGGCCATACTGCCCAAGGTAATTTACAGATTCAATGCCATCCCCATCAAGCTACCAATGCCTTTCTTCACAGAATTGGAAAAAACTACTTTAAAGTTCATATGGAACCAAAAAAGAGCCCGCATCGCCAAGGCGATCCCAAGCCAAAAGAACAAAGCTGGAGGCATCACACTACCTGACTTCAAACTATACTACAAGGCTACAGTAACCAAAACAGCATGGTACTGGTACCAAAACAGATATAGATCAATGGAACAGAACAGAGCCCTGAGAAATAATGCCGCATATCTACAACTATCTGATCTTTGACAAACCTGAGAAAAACAAGCAATGGGGAAAGGATTCCCTATTTAATAAATGGTGCTGGGAAAACTGGCTAGCCATATGTAGAAAGCTGAAACTGGATCCCTTCCTTACACCTTATACAAAAATCAATTCAAGCTGGACTAAAGACTTAAACGTTAGACCTAAAACCATAAAAACCCTAGAAGAAAGCCTAGGCATTACCATTCAGGACATAGGCATGGGCAAGGACTTCATGTCCAAAACACCAAAAGCAATGGCAACAAAAGACAAAATTGACAAATGGGATCTAATTAAACTAAAGAGCTTCTGCACAGCAAAAGAAACTACCATCAGAGTGAACAGACAACCTACAAAATGGGAGAAAATTTTCGCAATCTACTCATCTGACAAAGGGCTAATATACAGAATCTACAATGAACTCAAACAAATTTACAAGAAAAAAACAAACAACCCCATCAAAAAGTGGGCGAAGGACATGAACAGACACTTCTCAAAAGAAGACATTTATGCAGCCAAAAAACACATGAAAAAATGCTTATCATCACTGGCCATCAGAGAAATGCAAATCAAAACCACAATGAGACACCATCTCACACCAGTTAGAATGGCAATCATTAAAAAGTCAGGAAACAACAGGTGCTGGAGAGGATGTGGAGAAATAGGAACACTTTTACACTGCTGGTGGGATTGTAAACTAGTTCAACCATTGTGGAAGTCAGTGTGGTGATTCCTCAGGGATCTAGAACTAGAAATACCATTTGACCCAGCCATCCCATTACTGGGTATATACCCAAAGTACTATAAATCATGCTGCTTTAAAGACACATGCACACGTATGTTTATTGCGGCATTATTCACAATAGCAAAGACTTGGAACCAACCCAAATGTCCAACAATGATAGACTGGATTAAGAAAATGTGGCACATATACACCATGGAATACTATGCAGCCATAAAAAATGATGAGTTCATGTCCTTTGTAGGGACATGGATGAAATTGGAAATCATCATTCTCAGTAAACTATCACAAGAACAAAAAACCAAACACTGAATATTCTCACTCATAGGTGGGAATTGAACAATGAGATCACATGGACACAGGAAGGGGAATATCACATTCTGGGGACTGTGGTGGGGTGGGGGGAGGGGGGAGGGATAGCATTGGGAGATATACCTAATGCTAGATGATGAGTTAGTGGGTGCAGCGCACCAGCATGGCACATGTATACATATGTAACTAACCTGCACAATGTGCACATATACCCTTAAACTTAAAGTATAATAAAAAAAAAATAGGACCTACTTGACGGTTGAGGATAGATAGAGGGTGAAGATTAGAAAGCTATCTATTGAGTACTGTATTTTCTAACTTGGTGTTGAAATAATCTCTACACCAAACCCCCATGATATGCAATGTACCTATATAACAAACAAGCACATATACCTCAGAACCCTAAATAACAATTAAAAATATCATTAAAAACTTAGGAGCTATATGTTTGTATTTATTTATATTTTTAATTTTTAATTTTGTGGGTAGAGTGTAGGTATATATATTTATTAGGTACATAAACATTCAGGGGTTGGTATCTCTTCAGTACCCATTTTTAAAATAGTGTTTTGTTATAGTTTTTCATGCATTAAACCAAATGAATTTATAGTCTATATACAGAGAGAGAGATTTATGTTTAATTTGTCTACTGGATGGTATTTCCTTTCTCCTGAGAAACATTATTTGCCAGAACACACTTGGTCAGTGGAGGTGGGGACTTATGCATCCATTTAATCATTAATAAAAATGTATGAAATACTTCTATTTATATGCAAGTGTCATACATTGGGAATTTAGGAATACAGTAATGACTATGAGGTAATCAAGGACACTTCATGTTTGTACATCTTTCTAGAAACATAAAGATATTTCTACAAAAATCTTTATGTTTGTAGAAAACAGTGTTTAAAGATATATTCGATGTGCTATACTGCAAAGACCACATTTTTATTTTATTTTATTTTTTTAGAGAGACAGTGTCGGTCTCACTTTTTTGCCCAGGGTGGTCTTGATTTCCAGGGCTCAAGCAATTCTCTCATCTTGGCTTTCCAAAGGGCTGATATTACAGCTGTGAGCCACCATGCCCATTCTGAGACCACATTTTTAAATGTTAAGAGTGAAAACCATGTTTCACTTAGCCAATTGCCTCTCAGAATAGTTTAATTTATACACACAATTTCTTCCACTTGCTCTTGAAGCCATGATATATTTACTTCAGCAAAAGATTATGGTGGTAAATATAATACTTAATATATTAATTATATTCTTACAATAATATTTATAATATAGAAGTGAAATTATCCTTAAACATTAAATGGATCTCATTATTTTGCAGATAAAAAATTGAGTTCTCAGGTTACATGATTTGTGAATAATCACTTGGATGACAAATGGCAGTTTGACATTATGACACTTTTCTTGAATTCCAGTTGAAAGTCCTATAAATAATTTTTGATTTAGAAATTTAATAAAGGCCTTCTTATAAGTTTTGCATGGGTGATATTTAAGCACTATATGCTAATTTTATGAATATGTGAAAATTATACATTAGTGTTCTAGTAAAAGAACAAGGGAAAAAGATGAAACAGGTGAAAGTAACTTCAACAAGACAGCAGAGTAGTAAATTATAGCCTTTATTCCCACAATAAGGAAAAACAATTGAACAACTATCCACAAAGAAAACATAATTCTAGAAAAGCTTGTGCCCAATTAAGCAGCTAAAGCAACAAAGAAGACAAAAACCGAGAATGACCACACAAAACAAGTAGAGAAAACAATTTTATTTTTAAGCATTATTCCCAGCTCACAAAATGCCCCTGCAATAAAAAGGAGATCAGAGTGAACAACCAGCTTCTCTAGACTTTTGGGACACTGCCAGAAAGACATACTTTATTTTCAACCCCACTCAAATTGCTGGGTTAGACTGTCATAGCCAAGACATCTGGAGACAGCTCAGAAAAAAAAAAAAAGATTGGGAACTCTCGATATTAGTCGTGCAGAGGGAGCCATTGTACTCTGCAGTGGCCTCCTCTACACAAGACCCAACAGCTTCTCAGATGAGGGCCACAACAGATCTCACAACTGTCACGGAAGCCTTGCAACTTTTATCGCAGAGCCCTCACAGTGCTCAACATCAAAGATTCCAAAATCCTGCTCCCCAGTGGAACACAGCAGCTTTTCTTGCTGAAGAAATATTAATCAATATTGCTGTAATAGATACTCTACCACTTTCAATGCCAAGTGCCTTCAGGGTTTGTTTGTTTGTTTCCTTTGTTTTTTTTTTTTTCTTTCTTTTTTTGTTTTTTGCCCTTGCAGTCCCTATCTTCCTGATCTGTGAACCCTCCATCTCTTTTCCCTGGAGCTTCCTGAGGTGTAGCAATTGTGTGTGCCTGTAACAGGTACCCCACACAGCCACCATATGCATATCCACAAAATGTGCACATCTCGTTAAATGTAAATGAACTAGATTCTCCAATCAAAATACATAGAGGCCTAGACATTTTAAAAGAACACAAGACATAACTGTTTGCTGTGTACAGCAGACTAACTTCAACATTAAGGAAATACATAGACTAAAAGTTCAGAAATTTAAAGTGATATTCTATGCAAATGGAAACTGAAAAAAAGCAGACATAACTATACTTATATCAGACAAAATAGACTTTAAGTCAAAACTGTAACAAGAAATACACAGGGTCATTCTCTAATGAAAAGAGAATGAGTTCATCAAGAGGATATAAAAATTATAAAAATATCTGTACCCATCAGTGGAGCACCTAAACATATAAAACAATTATTAATCGGTCAGAAGAGAGTGATAGACTGAAATACAATAATAATAGGGTAATCCAATACCACACTTTCAGCAACGGACAGGTCATCCAGACAGAAAACCAATACATTAACATTGGGCTTGAACTACACTTCAGACAAAATGAATCTAACATATTTATACAAAAGATTCTATCCACCACGGCAAAATACATATTTTTTTTTCAAACACACATGGCTTGTTCTCTGGAATTGACCATACTTTAAGCCACAAAACAAGTCCTATAAAGTTTAAGAAATTGAGATCATATCAACTATATTTTCTGATTACAATGGAATAAAACTAGAAGTCAATAACAAGGAAGAAAACTAGAAAATTCACAAATACATGGAAATTAACATATTCCTGTGCAATCATTGTATCAAAGAAGAAACTAAAAGGGACACTAAAAAATCTTAAGAGACACAAAAATTGAAACACAACATGTCAAATCTTATGCGATGCCACAAAAGAAGTTCTAAGAGAAAGGCAACAAATGCTTACATCAGAAAAGAAGAAAGATAAGCAAATAAAAACCCAAAGTTATACCTCAAATAACTAGGAAACAATGAACAACCTAAGCCCAAAGCTAGTAGAAGAAGTAAAATAATAAGATCTGAGAAGAAAAAATGTAGACTAGAGAAAAAATAGAAAATATAAAAAAAGAAGAGGTGGTTTTTGAAAGATAAACAAAATAAACATTTAACTAGACTAAGAAAAAAAAGACTCAAATAAATAAAATCTGAAATTAAGGAGAAACCATTACAACTGATACCACTAAAATGCAAAGGATAATGAGACTATTATGAACCATTATACACCAACAAACTGGATAACTTAAAAGCAATTAATAAATTCCTAGAATCATATAATCTAATCAACACTGAATCATGAAGGCAGAGAATCTTAACAGACCAGTAACAAGCAAAGAGATTGAATCAATAATAAAAATGTCTCATAAAAAATTCTTCCAATCCCATTTTATGAGGACAGCATCATCCTGGTATCAAACCCAGACAAGAATATTACAGAAAAAGAAATTACAAGCCAGTAGGACTAATGAACATAGATATAAACATCTTCAACAAATGCTAGCAAATCAAATATAAGAACACATTAAAACTATCATACACCATAATCAAATGATATTTATTACTGAGATGCAAGGATGCTTCAATATATGCAAATCAATAAATGTAATACAGTAGCTGAACAGACTAAAAAACAAAAGCATATGATCATTTTAATTAATGTAGGAAAAGCATATGGAAAAATTCATCATCATTTCATGATGAAAACCTCTCAAGAAATTAGGTATAGAAAAAAAGTACCTCAACATAGTAAAGGCTATATTTTACAGGCCCAGAGCTAATATCAAAAATAAAAGTTGGAAGCTTTTCTTCTAAGATCAGGAACAAAACAAGAATGCTCACTCTTGCCACTTCTATTTAACATAATACTGGAAGTTCTAGCCAGAGCAATTAGCAAAAGAAACAAAACCAAAAACACATCTAAATCATAAAAGAAGACGTTAAATTGTCTTTGTTTAAAGATGACATTATATACGTATGTGTGTGTGTGTGTGTGTGTGTGTATGTATAGATAGATATAGCTCCATACATTACTTCTAGAGGGATGTATATCCCTATATACTGCACAAAACACCTTTAAAAGTAATGTACAAATATATATATATATACACGTGTGTATTACACACACGTATATATATTTGTACATAATATATACATATATAATGTACATACATGTACATATTTAATGTGCAAAATTTGTACATTATATGTTACTGTACATTATATAATGTACAAATATATAATGTACATATTTAATGTACATATTTGTACATTATATAATGTACATATTTAATGTACATATTTGTACATTATATAATGTACATATTTAATGTACATATTTGTACATTATATAATGTACATATTTGTACATTATATAATGTACATATTTAATGTACATATTTGTACATTATATAATGTACATATTTGTACATTATATAATGTACATATTTGTACATATTTGTACATTATATAATGTACATATTTGTACATTATATATACGTATATATGTACATATATACGTATATATATTGTACATATATATGCATATATATATACACGTATATATAGTACATATATATACACATGTATATATATTGTACATATATATACGTGTATACACACACACACATACACACACAAACATACCCACACATCCCTGTAGACTGCACAAAACACCTCTAGAAGGAATGTATGAATTTAGGAAAGCTGCAGCATACAAATCAACAAACAAAAATCTGTTGCATTTCTATGCACTAACAAAGAACTATTCAAATAAGGAAACAAACCAAAAAAAAACAGTCAAATTTAGAATAACATCAGAAATAATAGAATACATAGAAATAAATTTAACCAATGAGTTATAAAACCTGTACACTGAAAACTATAAAATATTGATAAGAGAAATTAAAGAAGACTTAAAAAGAAACATAGCCCAAGTTTATAAACTGGAAAAATTAATAATGTACAAATGTCTATACTACCTTAGTCCATTTTGTGCTGTGATAAAAAACACCTAAGACTGGGTAATTTATAATGAAGAAAAACCTATTTGGATCACAGTTCTAGGGGTTGGGAAATTCAGGACTATGGAAAGAGGGAAAGCAAGAAGAAGATGAACTCATCCTTTTTTCAACAATTCATTTCTGTGATAACTAAACCACTATCATGATAACGGCATTAATTCATTCATGATGGCAAAACTTTATGAACTTATTATATTTTTAAGGTCTTACCTCTCAACACTGTTGCATTGGGGATTAAATTTCAAACACCTGAACTTTGAGGACACATTCAAAGCAAAACAACCTAAGTAATCTACAATGTCAACATAATTTCTATCAAAATTACTATAGCATTTTTCACAGACATAGAAAAGAAATCCTTAAGATTGTATGACAAAACCACAGGAAATCTGTGTAAGGATTTCAACCCCACATTTCCCTTTGGCACTGCTCTAGTAAATTCTCTCTGTTGAGGCTTTGCCTCTATGACAGGTTTCTGCCTGGCCCTGAGGCTTTCCTACATGTTCTCTGAAATCTAGGTTGAAGGTGCCAAGCCTCCTTCACTTTTTCATTCTGTGCACCTGCAGGATAAATACCACATGGAAGCTGCCAAGGCTTATGGCTTGAGCTCTGCAAGGCAGCGGCTTGAGTTATACCTAGGGCCCTCTGAGCCATGGCTGGAACTGGAGCAGCAGGGATGCATGGAGCAGTGCTCCAAGTCGGCACAGGGCAGTGGGGCTTTGAACCTTGCCCACAAAACCATTCTTTTGTCCTTGGTCCTTTGGGCCTTTGACAGGAGGGTCTGCCTCAAAGATCTCTGAGATGTCTTTGAGGTCTTTATACTATTGTCTTGAATATTAGCACTTGGATCCCTTTTAGTCATGCAAATATCTCTAGCAAGTGGTTGCTCCACTGCCCATTTTAATTCCTCTACTGAAAATGCTCTTTGTTTCTCTATCACAATGCCAGGCTGCAAATTTTCCAAACTTTTACACTCTGTTTCCATTATAATTTCCAACTTTGAGAAATTGCTTTCATATATTATTATAGACTTTTAGAAGGAAGGAACTGTCAGGCCTCTGAGCCCAAGCTAAGCCATCATATCCCCTGTGATCTGCACATACACATCCAGATGGGCGGTTCCTGCCTTAACTGATGACATTCCACCACAAAAGAAGTGAAAATGGCCTGTTCCTGCCTTAACTGATGACATTGTCTTGTGAAATTCCTTCTCCTGGCTCATCCTGGCTCAAAAGCTCCCCCACTGAGTACCTTGTGACCCCCACTCCTGCCTGCCAGAGAACAAACCCCCTTTTTCCTTTACCTACCCAAATCCTATAAAACGGTCCCACCGCATCTCCCTTCACTGACTCTCTTTTCGGACTCAGCCCACCTGCACCCAGGTGAAATAAACAGCTTTATTGCTCACACAAAGCCTGTTTGGTGGTCTCTTCACACGGACACGCATGAAATTTGGTGCAATGACTCAGATCGGGGGACCTCCCTTGGGAAATCAATGCCCTGTCCTCCTGCTCTTTGCTCCATGAGAAAGATCCACCTACAACCTCAGGTTCTCAGACTGACCAGCCCAAGAAACATCTCACCAATTTCAAATCCGGTAAGCAGCCTCTTTTTACTCTCTTCTCCAGTCTCCCTCACTATCCCTCAACCTGTTTCTCCTTTCAATCTTGGCGCCACACTTCAATCTCTCCCTTCTCTTAATTTCAATTCCTTTCATTTTCTGGTAGAGACAAAGGAGACACGTTTTATCTGTGGACCCAAAACTCCGGCGCCAGTCACAGACTAGGGAAGGCAGCCTTCCCTTGGTGTTTAATCATTGCAGGGACACCTCTCTAATTATTCACCCAGGTTTCAGAGGTGTCAGACCACGCAGTGACGTCTGTGTTGGTCCTGCACCCTTAGCAGCAAGTCCTGCTTTTCTGGGGAAGGGGCAAGTACCCCAGCCCCTTCTCTCCGTGTCTCTACCCCTTCTTTGCCTTTCTGGGGGGCAAGAAACCCCCAAACCCTTTGCCTTCACCCTTAGTGGCAAGTCCTGCTTTTCTGGGGGAGGGGTAAGCACCCCAACCCCTTATATCTCTGTGCCCTGATCCCTTATTTCCACACCCTGACCTCGTATCTCTGTGCCCCGACCGCTTTCCTGCTTTTCTGGAGGGTAAGAACTCCTAAACCCCTTCCCTCCATGTCTCTACTCTCTCTTTTCTCTGGGTTTGCCTCCTTCACTATGGGCAACCTTCCACCCTCCATTCCTCCTTCTTCTCCCTTAGCCTGTGTTCTTAAGAACTTAAAACCTCTTCAACTCTCACCTGACCTAAAATCTAAGCATCTTATTTTCTTCTGCAATGCCTCTTGACCCCAATACAAACTCGACAGTAGTTCCAAATAGCCAGAAAACGGCACTTTCAATTTTTCCATCCTGCAAGATCTAAATAATTCTTGTCATAAAATGGGCAAACGGTCTGAGGTGCCTGACGTCCAGGCATTCTTTTACACATCAGTCCCTCCCTAGTCTCTGTGCCCAGTGCAACTCATCCCAAATCTTCCTTCTTTCCCTCCCACCTGTCCCCTCAGTCCCAGCCCCAAGCATCGCTGAGTATTTCTAATCTTCCTTTTCTACAGACCCATCTGACCTCTCCCCTCCTCCCCAGGCTGCTCCTTACCAGGCTGAGCTAGGTCCCAATTCTTCCTCAGCCTCTGCTCCTCCACCCTATAATCCTTTTATCACCTCTCCTCCTCACACCCGGTCCAGCTTACAGTTTCATTCTGTGACTAGCCCTCCCCCACCTGCCCAGCAATTTACTCTTAAAAAGGTGGCTGGAGCTAAAGGCATAGTCAAGGTTAATGCTCCTTTTTCTTTATCCCAAATCAGATAGCGTTTAGGCTGTTTTTCATCAAATATAAAAATCCATCCCAGTTCATGACTTGTTTGGCAGCAACCCTGAGACACTTTACAGCCCTAGACCCTAAAATGTCAAAAGGCCGTCTTATTCTCAAAATGCATTTTATTACCAAATCTGCTCCCAACATTAAATAAAACTCCAAAAATTAAATTCTGGCCATCAAACTCCACAACAGGATTTAATTAACCTCACCTTCAAGGTGTACAATAATAGAAAAAAGTTGCAATTCCTTGCCTCCACTGTGAGACAAACCCCAGCCACATCTCCAGCACACAAGAACTTCCAAACGCCTGAACCGCAGCGGCCAGGTGTTCCTCCAGAATCTCCTCCCCCAGGAGCTTGCTACAAGTGCCAGAAATCTGACCACCAGGCCAAGGAATGCCTGCAGCCCAGGATTCCTCCTAAGCCTTGTCCCATCTGTGCGGGACCCCACTGGAAATTGGACTGTTCAACTCACCTGGCAGCCACTCCCAGAGCCCCTGGAACTCTGGCCCAGGGCTCTCTGACTGACTCCTTCTTGGCTTAGCGACTGAAGACTGACGCTGCCCGATCGCCTCGGAAGCCCCATAGACCATCACAGACACCAAGCTTTAGGTAACTCTTACAGTGGAGGGTAAGTCCATCCTCTTCTTAATCAATACAGAGGCTACCCACTCCACATTACCTTCTTTTCAAGGGCCTGTTTCCCTTGCCTCCATAACTGTTGTGGGTATTGAGAGCCAGGCTTCTAAACCTCTTAAAACTCCCCAACTCTGGTGCCAACTTAGACAATACTCTTTTAAGCACTCCTTTTTAGTTATCCCCACCTGCCCAGTTCCCTTATTAGGCTGAGACACTTTAACCAAATTATCTGCTTCCCTGACTATTCCTGGACTACAGCTGCATCTCATTGCCACCCTTCTCCCCAACCCAAAGCCTCTTTCGCATCTTCCTCTCATATCCCCCAACCTTAACCCACAAGTATAGGACATCTGTACTCCTTCCCTGGCAACCGATCACATGCCCATTACCATCCCATTAAAACCTAATCACCTTTACCACGCTCAATGCCAATATCCCATCCCACAGCATGCTTTAAAAGGATTAAAGCCTGTTATCACTTGCCTGCTACAGCATGGGCTTCTAAAACCTATAAACTCTCCTTACAAATCCCCCATTTTACCTGTCCAAAAACTGGACAAGTCTTACAGATTAGTTCAGGATCTGCGCCTTATCAACCAAATTGTTTTGCCTATCCATCCTGTGGTGCCCAACCCTTACACTCTTTTGTCCTCAATACCTTCCTCCACAACTCACTATTCCATTCTCGATCTTAAAGATGCTTTTTTCACTATTCCCCTGCACCCCTCGTCCCAGCCTCTCTTCACTTTCACTTAGACTGACCCTGACATCCAATAGGCTCAGCAAATTACCTGGGCTGTACTGCTGCAAGCCTTCACAGACAGCCCCCGTTACTTCAGTCAAGCCCAAATTTCATCCTCATCTGTTACCTATCTCGGCATAATTCTCATGAAAACACACGTGCTTTCCCTGCTGATCGTGTCCGATTAATCTCCCAAACCTCAATGCCTTACAAAACAACAACTCCTTTCCTTCCTAGGCATGGTTAGTGTGGTCAGAATTCTTACACAAGAGCCAGGACCGCACCCTGTAGCCTTTCTGTCCAAACAACTTGACCTTACTGTTTTAGCCTAGCCCTCATGTCCGCATGCAGAGGCTGCTGCTGCTTTAATACTTTTAGAGGCCCTCAAAATTACAAACTATGTTCAACTTACTCTCTACATTTCTCATAACTTCCAAAATCTATTTTCTTTCTCATACCTGATGCATATACTTTCTGCTCCCCGGCTCCTTCAGCTGTACTCACTCACTCTTTGTTAAGTCCCACAATTACCATTGTTCCTGGCCCGGACTTCAATCCGGCCTCCCACATTATTCCTGATACCACACCTGACCCCCATGACTGTATCTCTCTGATCCACCTGACATTCACCCCATTTCCCCATATTTCCATCTTTCCTGTTCCTCACCCTGATCACGGTTGATTTATTGATGGCAGTTCCACCAGGCCTAATCACCACACGCCAGCAAAGGCAGGCTATGCTATAGTACAAAGCCACTAGCCCGCCTCTTAAGACCTCTCATTTCCTTTCCATCGTGGAAATCTATCCTCAAGGAAATAACTTCTCAGTGTTCCATTTGCTATTCTACTACTTCTTAAGGATTATTCAGGCCCCCTCCCTTCCCTACACATCAAGCTCAAGGATTTGCCCCCACCCAGGACTGGCAAATTAGCTTTACTCAACATGCCCCAAGTCAGATAACTAAAATACCTCTTAGTCTAGGTAGACACTTTCACTGGATAGGTAGAGGCCTTTCCTACAGGGTCTGAGAAGGCCACCGCAGTCATTTCTTCCCTTCTGTCAGACACAATTCCTCAGTTTAGCCTTCCCACCTCTACACAGTCTGATAACAGACCAGCCTTTATTAGTTAAATCAGCCAAGCACTTTTTCAGGCTCCTAGTATTCAGTGAAACCTTTATATCCCTTACGGTCCTCTGTCTTCAGGAAAAGTAGAACGGACTAAAAGTCTTTTAAAAACACACCTCATCAAGCTCAGCCACCAACTTAAAAAGGACTGGACAATACTTTTACCACTGTCGCTTCTCAGAATTCAGGCCTGTCCTCGGAGTGCTACAAGGTACAGCCCATTTGAGCTCCTTTTTATTAGGCCCCAGTCTCATTCCAGACACCAGACCAACTTGGACTGTGCCCCAAAAAACTTGTCATCCCTACTATCTTCTGTCTAGTCATACTCCTATTCACCGTTTTCAACTACTCATACATGCTCTGCTCTTGTTTACACTGCCAGTTTACACTGTTTCTCCAAGCCAGCACAGCTGATATCTCCTGGTGCTATCCCAAAACCGCCATTCTTAACTCTCAAAGTAAATAAATAATCTTTACTGGCAAGGCTATGCTGAACCTCCTTAGGCACTCTCTAATTAGATGTCCTAGGTCCTCCCAATTCTTAGTCCTTTAATACCTGTTTTTCTCCTTCTCTTATTCCATTTAGTTTTTCAATTCATACAAAACTGTATCCAGGCCATCACCAATAATTCTAAATGACAAATGTTTCTTCTAACAACCCAACAATATCACCCCTTACCACAAAATCTTCCTTCAGCTTAATCTCTCCCACTCTAGGTTCCCACACCGCCCCTAATCCCGCTCGAAGCAGCCCTGAGAAACATCGCCCATTATCTCTCCATAACACCCCCAAAAAATTTTCACCGTCCCAACACTTTACCACTATTTCATTTTATTTTTCTTATTAATATAAGAAGACAGGAATGTCAGGCCTCAGAGCCCAAGCTAAGCCATCATATCCCCTGTGATCTGCACGTACACATCCAGATGGCCGGTTCCTGCCTTAACTGATGACATTCCACCACAAAAGAAGTGAAAATGGCCTGTTCCTGCCTTAACTGATGACATTGTCTCGTGAAATTCCTTCTCCTGGCTCATCCTGACTCAAAAGCTCCCCCACTGAGTACCTTGTGACCCCCACTCCTGCCTGCCAGAGAACAACCCCCCTTTTTCCTTTACCTACCCAAATCCTATAAAATGGCCCCACCCCATCTCCCTTCGCTGACTCTCTTTTCGGACTCAGCCCACCTGCACCCAGGTGAAATAAACAGCTGTATTGCTCACACAAAGCCTGTTTGGTGGTCTCTTCACACGGACATACATGAAAGGAACCAGACCAAATCTTGAACACTCTGTTGCTTAGAATTTTTTTTTGCTAGATATGCTTAGTCATCACTCTTCATTTCAAACACCCACAGAACCCTAGGATGTGAACACTTTGCAGGCAAGCTCTTTCCTAGAATGTAACATTGGTGACCTTAACTCCAGTTTCAAATCACTTCGTTTCCATGTGAGACCTCATCAGCTTGGCCTTTACTGTCCATATTTCTATCAGCATTTTGTCCACAATCACTTAAAAATTATCTAAGAAGTTCCAAACGTTTCCTTATCTTCCTGTCTTCTTCTGAGCCCTCCAAACTCTTCCAACCTCTGCCTATTACCCCATTCCAAAGTTTCTTTCACATTTTCAGGTATCTTTTTAGCAATGTCCCACTCCTCAGTACCAATTTTCTGTGTTAGTCCATTTTTACACCACTATAAGTTAATACCAGAGGCTGGGCAATTTATAAAGAAAAAAGGGTTAATTAGTTCATGATTATTCAGACTGTACTGAAAGCTTGGTTTTGCCATCTGCTCAGCTTCTAGTGACAACCTTAGGAAGGTTTCAGTCATGGCAGAAGGTGGAGGGGGAACAGACCTATCACACAGTGAGAGCCAGAGAAAGAGAGAGGAAAGGTGCTACACTCTTAAACAACCAGATCTCATATAAACTCATAGAGCAAATCTCACTTATTACTGCAAGGATATCACCAAGCTATTCATGAGGAATCTTCCCTCATGACTCAAACACCTCCCACTAGGGCTACCTATTACATTGGAGGCCAAATTTCAACACGAGATTTGGAGGGGACAAAACATCCAAACCATATCAAAACTTACACATACATAGTCAACTTTTTTTTAATAAAGGCATCAAGAATGCAAAATGGAAAAGGACAGACTCTACAATAAATACTGTTAGAAAAAGTGGATATCCATATGCAAAATAATGCAATTGAAACTTTTTCTTACATCACACACAAAAATCCATTTTAAATGGATTTAAAAATTAAATGTAAGTAATGTAACCTAAAACTCCTAGAAGAAAACATAGTGGAAGAGATCCTTGACATTGGTCTTATCAAAGGCTTCCTGTATTTGAAATAAAAACTGTCAGAGGCAATTGAATCAGAGTGACTATATCATGAATAGGTGCCCAAGTAAAATAAGTCTGAGCCCTACTGGGTTGCATTCCCAGGAGGTAAAGCATTTTAAGTCACAGAATGAAATAGGAGGTCGGCAAAAGATACAGGTCACAAAGATGTTGCTGTTAAAACAGGTTGCATTAAAGAAGCAGGCCAAAACCCGCCAAAACCAAGATAGCAACAAAAGTAACCTCTGATCATCCTCACTGCTCATTATACACTAAGTTTAATGCATTAGAATACTAAAAGTCATTCCCACCAGTGCAATGACAGTTTACAGATGCCATGGCAATGTCCTTAAGTTACTCTATGTAGTCAAAAAAGAGGAGGAACACTCAGTTCTGGAAAGTGCCCACCCCTTTCCTGGAAAACTTGTGAATAATCCACCCCTTGTTTAGCATATACTAAAGAAAGATCCATAAGAATAGCCGACCAGCAGCCCTCGGGGCTGCTCTGCCTTTGGAGTAGCCATTCTTTAATTCTTTACTTTCTTAATAAACTTGCTTTCACTTTACTCTATGTATTCACCTCAAATTCTTTCTTGTACAAGATCCAAGTACCCTCTCTTGGGGTCTGGATCAGGACCCCTTTCCAGTAACAAAACTAAAGGCAAGAAAATAAAAAATAAACAAGTGGAACTACATCAAACTAAAAAGCTGCTCCACATCAAAGGAAGCAATCAACAAAATGGAAAAGCAACCTATGGAATCAAAGATGTTTGTAAACAACATACCCAATAAGAAGTTAATGTCCAAAAATATAAAATTACAACTCAAAAGCAAAAAATTCCAAATACTCAATTAAAAAAGGGGAAATGACATGAATAGACATTTCTTAAAGAAGACATACAAATGACTAATAAGTATATAAAAATACATTCAGCGTTACTACCCATCAGGGAAATGAAAATCAAAACCACAATGATAGATCAGCTCACACCTGTTAGAATGTCTATAACTTAAAAAGTTCATGGATAACAAGTGTTGGTTAGAATGTAAGGAAAAAGGAACTTTTATATACTGTTGGTAGAAAGGTATATTGGTATATCCATTATGGAAAACTGTATGGAGGTTGCTCAAACAATTAAAAATAGAGCTATCATATGATCCAACAATCCTATCTCTAGGTATACATACAAAGGAAAAAATATCACTATATTGAAGAGATATATGCAGTCCTATGTCCATTGCAGCATTATTCACAATCGCCAAAATGTGAAAACAACCTAAGTATCTGCCTATAGATGGAATGGATAAACATAATTTGATGTGTGTGTGTTTATAAAATTAAGCCTTATAAAAGAAGGAAATATCTTTAATTTTCAGTGACCTGTAGATTTCAGTATACACATGTTTTGTGAGATGTATCATCTTATGATTTTATTCTATTACAAATAATATTTTAAATTCATTTTTTCAATAGCTTATTGATATTATAAAGAAATACAATTTGTATTTTTTATGTTGAATCTTGTAACTGTACTAAACTCACTAATAAGATTTAGCAATCTTTTTGTAGATTGTATAGACTTTTCTGTGTAGATGATCATGTCATCTGTGAATAAATAAAGCTTTACATACTTCTTTACAATCTGGAAGCCCTTTCCACCCCATTTCTTGCAATATTGCATTGGGTAAAACTTCTAGGACAATGTTGAGCAGAAGTGGTGAAAGTGCACACATTATCCTGGTTTATGCTTTTTGTAAATAGCATACAGTTTTTCAACTATAAGTATGTGATATCTGTATGTTTGTTGCAAGTTTTAATCAGGAATGGATGTTGAATCTTTATGCACGTATTTGGATGATCATATGGATGTTCTGCATTAGGCTGTTATTATGTTTAATTTCATTTATTTATTTTTGACTGTTAAATAATCCTTGCAATCCTGGGATAAATCAACTTTGTCATGCTGTATTATTTCTTAATATGGAGTGATTAGGTTTCCTAAAGGTTAATACATTTTGCATAACTATTTATGAGTGATATTTTTCTGTAATTTTCTTGTAATATCTTTGTGTAGTTTCGGTATCACTCACCTCTTAGAATGCTGGCCTCCTAGAATGAGTTGGAATATATTATATCATCTTTAACTCTATTGAGTAATTCACATATATTTGCATGACTTCTTTGTTAAGTGTTTGATAGAATTCATGAGTAAAGCCATCTGTGCTTGTGATTTTCTTTGTGGGAACTTTTGCAACTAAAAATTCAATTTATTTAATATACAAAAGTTTATTCAGGTTATCTATTATTCCTCTTCTGTCACAGAGGCTGGAATGCAGTGGCAGGATCTCAGCTCACTGCAATCTCCGCCTCCCAGGTTCAAGTGATTCTCTTGCCTCAGCCTCCTGAGTAGCTGGAATTACAGGCACCCGACACCACACCCGGCTAATTTTTTGTATTTTTAGTAGAGATGGGGTTTTGCCATGTTGGCTAGGCTGGTCTCGAATTCCTGACCTCTAGTGATCTGCCCGCCTATGCTTCCCGAAGAGCTGGGATTTCAGGTGTGAGCCACCACACCCAGTATTCTTGAGTAATCTATTCTCAATTTATTCTTGAGTAAGCTTTGTACTTGATGTCTTTTAATAAAATGTTTCTTATATTTAAATTATCAAATTAGCATGAATTTGTTGATATTCTCTTATCATCCTTTTTAACATATTTAATATCTGTAGAATATGTGGTGATATCATCTTTCTCCTTTCTGATATGAAAATTTGTGTCATTTTTTTTTTCCGGATAAGTCTGGCTAAAATTTTATTTTAAAGAACTAGATTTTGACTATATTGATACTCATTATTAATACTTGTTTGTTTTATTGATTTATTCTTTCATTCTCTTCATTTCCTTTCTACTCACATTGAGTTTCCTGTACAACCTACTGTGTACTGATATTATACTACTTCACTTATAGCATTACAACATTGCAAAAGTATACTTCTACTTCTCCCTTAGTTTTTGTCTTTTTAATTCTACCTATAGTAAACCTAGGAATAATTTGTTACTAATTTGCTGATACAGTCAATTGCCTTTTAAAAATATAAATAATAAAAATTTTATATATTTAATTATGTATTTCTTATTTCCAGTGCTTTTTCTCCCTTTGTGTAGATTCATATTCTCTCTGTCATCATTTTCTTTTGCCTAAGGGACTTTCTTTAAATTTCTCATAATGTAGGCTTATTGGTAAACATTTTTTCCAGGTATTATATGTCTGAAAAAGTTTTAATCTCATTATTTTTGAAATATTGAAATTTTGAAAAATTTTACTGGATAAAGAATTGCCAGCTGACATTTTTTTTTTTCAATTCAGAACTTAAAATATGTTTCTCCAACATCTTTTAGCTTGCACTGTATGTGATAAACAATCTGGTGCCATCTTATCTTTATTTCTTTGTACACAACAGTTCATTTCCCTATAGCTGTTTTTAAGATTTTTCCCTTTCTTACTGGTTGTTAGCAAGTTGATGATGATGTAGATTGGCATAGTACTACTCATGTTTCTTTTTTCTTGGGGTTCAGTTAATATCCTGAATTTGTTGGTTTACAGTATTCATCTTATTTGGAAAATGTTCAGCTCTTTTTTTTTTTTATTTTTTCCAAGCCATTTTGTTCTTTCCTCTCTTTCAAAGGCTTTAATTGCATGTATGGTTGGTTACTTAAAATTTTTCCAGAGTTTCATGATATACTGTTTATTTTTTCCATTCTTTTTTTTCACCCGTGTGTTTCCCTTTTGATAGATTATTTTGCTGGTTTGAATTTCACTGATTTTTGTTTACAATGCCTTATCTGTTATTAACGGAAGTGTAGTTTTAATCTTATACTTTACAGTTTTTATCTTTAAAAGTTCAATCTATCATTTTACACATTGTTAATTTTATATATTGGGTGTTGTGCATATATATATAATTTTGTGGGACATGGTTAAATCGTTTGGAAACAGTTTTACTCTTTTAGATCTTGCTTTTAAGCTAGGTTAGGCAGAATCAGAGTTTCATTTAATCTAGAGTTAATTCTTCCCCACTACTGGGGAACCAGGTACATTATCTTTTGTCTTCTGAATTATTGTGTGTTCCACTCTGGGTTTTGGAAACAGGCACTATTTTAAGACCTAAGTTAGCTCCAACCAGAGCTTCCTCTACTCTCTTCAAGTAGCTTTTCCTTGGGGTTGGATATTTTTCTCACATATATACACTGGTCTATATTCACCTGATATTTGGCAGAGAATGTTTGAAGATTTTGGGATTTCTCACTCTCAGACATATTTCTCTTCTTAATAATGTGCTCAATGAACTCTAGCCACTTTGGCTTAGGCAGAATCCTAGCTTCCTATTTTTATTTCAGATGGACTACCAGTCTTGGCCTGACTTTGCCACCCAGTGCAGAGCAAGTGACTAAAACCTTTTTCATTCAGTAATCTGATACATTCATACTGTTATTTTGTCTGGTTTTTCAGTGCTTATAGGTGGGATTACCCTGTTACTTCATCTTAGCAGGAGGCAGAAGACCTATACATTTTAATAAACTGTCTTCTGCTTTATCAAGATAATAAGTAACTTATTCTTGGGATGGAAACATTGCCAGATGGCAAACTACAAGGTTCCATTAACCATCTCCACTGCAAAAGCAGCAATTTAACAAATATATACACAAGAAAAGCACCTTCTTAAGAACCAATAATCAAGGGAGGACTTATATACCTGGTCTTAACTTCATATCGCTGAGAGGCACTGAAGAGGTAGAAAAACCAGTACTGAATCACCAATGCCATCCCTCCCCCACCAACTGGCATCCAAGGTGTGGTGCAGAAAATGATTCTGTGTGCTGGGGGAGGGAAAGTGCAGCAATTTTGAGACATTGAACTCAATGCCTTCCTGTTATACCAGAAATAAAAACTGGACCAAACTCAGCTGCCGCCCACCAATGGAGGGAGCATTTAAACCAGCCCTAGCCTGAGGGGAATTGCTTATCTCAGAGGTGGAAGCCTGGCCTCTCACAGACCTCATCACCGTAGGATAAACTGATATAGACTCTAAAAAAATTTGAAAGGCAGTCTAGGCCAAAGGACTGCAACATTAGGTGAGTCTTAGTGCTGAACTGAGCCAAGAACCAGGAGACGGGGGGACATGACCTACTGAGACACTAGATGGAGCAACTAAGGGAGTGCTGGCATTTCCAAAATCCTAGGTTGCACAGCTTCCAGCTCCAAAAGAGACTCCTTTCTTCTGCTTTAGAAAAGGAGAGGGAAGAATGGGGGAGACTTTGTCTTGCATCTTGGATACCAGCTCAGCAAAAGCAGGATAGGGCAATGATGAGGGTCATGAGGTTCTCTTTCCAGGCCCTAGCAACCAGATGACATTTCCAGACATACCCTGGGCAAAAATGGAACAACACACTCTGCTGCCTTGAGAGGAAAGACTTAGTTTTGCTAGAATTCATCATAGCTGACTTAAGACCCCTTGAGCCCAGAATAACCAGAAGTGATACTACTACATCGAGGAACTTGGGTGAGGCTTTGAGACTCGCTGGCTTCAGGTGAGACTCAGCACATTTCCAGCTGTGGTGACTGTGGCAAGAGACTTTTTCTGCTTGACAAAACAGAGGGAAAAGTAAAGGTGACTTTGTCTTGCACCTTAGGTACGAACTTTGCCACAGAGAGGTAGAACACCAAGCGATCATGTGGGTTTTCTGATTCCAGATCATGGCCCTTGGACATTTTAAGACCTGCTTAGGGCCAGAGGGGAGTCCACTGCCCAGAAGTTGAGTCATAAGCCAGGCAGTATTCATCACAAGCTGACTGCAGAGCACTTGGCCTTAAGGAAACATTGGTAGTAGTCTGGCATTACTCCTTGGGGACCTGCTGTGGCAGTAGCCATGGGGTAAGGCTCCTCTTTCTTTGGAAAGGAGAGGGAAGAGTGAGAAGGACTGCATCATCTGGCCTGAGTGCCAGCTCAGGAATAGTACAATAGAACACCAGGTAGATTTTAATGTTTTTGACTCTAGTTCTTGGCACCTCTGGAACCACCTTGGGACTGTGGGAATCCCTGCCCTGAAGGAAAGAACACAGGCCTGACTGACTTTACAACCTGCTTACTATAGAGCTTCAGGGCCTTGAGGAAACTTAGGTAGTATCCAGGTAGTGGTTATAGCAGACCTTGTATGAGGCCCAGTGTTATTCTGGCTTTGTTCTGACCCAGCACAGTCATATTAGTGATGGCCACAGGGGTGCTTGTGTCATTCCACCCCCAGATTTAGGTGGCTCAGGAGAGAGTTAGAGAGAGAATGAGAGAGAGAGAGAAAGAGAGACTCTTTCTTTGGGAGAAAGTAAGGTAAGAGAACAAGAGTCTTTCCCTGGTAATCTAGAGAATTCTCCCAGATCTTATACAAGAATATTAAGTTGAAACCTCTTGGAGTCTACAAGAACCACAACATTACTGGGCTTGAGGTGCCCCCAAAAGCAGATACAGCTTAGATCACAACATCAAAGTACTTCTGAATATCTGGAAATCTTTTCCAGAGAGGATGGATGCAAACAAGCTCAGACAGTGAGGACTACTATACCTAACTCTTAAATGCTCAGGCATTAAAGAATATCTACACATATCAAGACATTCCAGGAAAACATGACCTCACCAAATGACCTAAATAAGTCCCCAGGAACCAACCCTGGATAAACAGAGTCATGCGACCTTTCAGACAGATAATTCAAAGTACTTGTGTGGAGGAAACTCAAAGAAATTTAAGATAACAAAGAGAAGAAATTTAGAATGCTATCAGATAAACTTAACAAAGAGATTGAAATAATTAAAAATAAACTAGCAAAAATTCTGGAGCTAAAATGCAATTGGCATACTGAAGAATGCATCCGTCTTTTTTCTTTTCTTTTCTTTTCTTTTCCTTTTTTTTTTTTTTTTTTTTTTGAGACAGGCTGGAATGCAATGGCACAATCTCTGCTCAATGCAACCTCCGTCTCCCAGATTCAAGCCATCCTCCTGCCTCAGCCTCCCACATCCTCTTTCAATAGCAGAATTTATCAAATAGTAGAATGGATAACTTGAAGAGAGGCTATTTGTAAATATACAGTCAGAGGAGACAAAAGGAAATAGAATACAATGAATAAACTAACAAAACATGCCTGCAACTTAAAAGATAGCCTCAAAGGGCAAATTTAAGAGTTATTGGCCTTAAAGAATAGGTAGAAAAAGTCATAGTGGTAGAAATTTTATTCAAAGGAATAATAACTGAGAACTTCACAAACCTAGAGAATGGTATCAATATCCAAGTATGAGAACGTTTTAGAACACCAAGCAGATTTAACCCAAAGAAGACTTCCTCAAAACATTTAATATTCAAACTCCCAAAGGTCAAAGATAAAGAAAGGGTCCTAAAAGCAGCAAGAGAAAAGAAATAAATAACATGCAATGGAGCTCCAATACATCTGACAGCAGACTTTTTAGTGGAAACCTTACAGTTCAGGAGAGAAGGAGAGAATGGCATGATATATTTAAAGTGCTGAAGGAAAAAAACAAAGAAACAAACAAAAAAAAAACTATTACCCTCTAATAATATATCCAAAGAAAATATCCTTCAAACATGAAGGGGAAATAAAAACTCCCAGAGAAACAAAAGCTGATAACAACTTAACACTATTCACACAAACAAACACACAAACACGCAAAAAGAAAACAAATAAACTTGCCTTAACTTTGTCGCCTCTCTTTTTACCTTTTTCATATTTATATTTTCTTGTACTGACTATGTCTTGAAAAGTTGTAGCTATTATTTTTTATTTTCTTTCATTCAGTCTTTCTACTTGAGTTGTTTACACAGCACAGTTACAGTGTTAAACTACTTAAAATATTCTGTGTTTTTCTGTGTACTTATGATTACCAGTAAACTTTCTACCTTCAGGTGATTATTTAGCGCTCATTAATTTCTTTTCTTTTTGATTGAAGTGTGTACCCTTTATCATTTATCGTAGGATGGGATTGGTATTGATGACATTGCTCAGCTTTTGTTTGTCTGGGAAAATCTTTATTTCCCCTTCATATTTGAAGGATATTTTTACCTGATATATTATTCTAGGCTGAAAGGCTTTTTTTCCCCTTCAGCATTTTTAATATGCCATGTCATGTCATTATCTCCTGGTCTGTAAATTTTTCATAAAAAATTCTGCAGCCATTTGTATTGGAGCTCCATTGTACGTTTGTTTGTTTGTTTGTTTGTTTGTTTGTTTGTTTACTCTTGCTGCTTTTAGAACCCTTTATTGTTGACCCTTGGGAGTTTGATTTTTAAATGCCTTGAAGTAGTCTTCTTTGGGTTAAATATGCTTGGTGTTCTGTTACCTACTTTCATTTGGATATTGGTATCTCTAGATTTGGGACATTGTCTGTTATTAACCCACTGAATATGCTTTCAACTCCTCTTTGACTCTTCTTTAAGGTCAATAGCCCTTAGATTTGACTTTTTAGGATATTTTCGAGATCATGCAGGCATGGTCCATAGGTTTTTTAAAATTCTTTTTGATCTCCTCTGACTGTGTACTTTTAAATATCCTGTGCTTAAGCTCACTAATTATTTCTTATATTTTATCCAATCTGCTATTGAAGAACTCCAATGCATTCCTCAGTACACCAATTGCATTCTTCAGCTCCAGAACTTCTGCTTGACTCTTTCCACACCTGGCCAAGAGGAGTACTGCCAGACTAACTATGTTCCTTTAGGCCCAAGCTCTCTTAAGCCAGCCTGTGGTGAATGCTGCCTGGCCTGGTAATCACCCTTCAGAACGGTAGGCCTCTCCCTGGCCCAAGGCAGGTCCAAAAATATCATGTAAGAGTCAAGCCCTGGAATCAGGGACTCCAAGAGCCTGCTTGGTGTTCTATGCCCCTGTGGTGGTGTTGGTACCTAAAGTCCAAGAAAAAGTCCCTTTTACTTTTCCCTCTGCTTTTTTCAAGCAGTTTTGCCCCAAAGCCACACAGTTGGTAATGTGCTGAATCTCACCTGAAGCCAGCAAGTCTCAAAGCCACTAAGGCCTCTGATGTAGTATCTGGGTATTACTCCTTGTTATTCAGGGCCCAAGACCTCTTCAGTTAGCAGATTATGAAAGCTGCCATGACCGTGTTTTTTTTGTTTGTTTGTTTGTTTGTTTTAAGCAGCAGTTTTTCCTGTGGCCCAGGGTGTGTCTAGAAATGTCATATTGGTACTTGAAACTGAAATGGGGGCCTTATGACTCTGACTGGTGCCCTATTATGCTGTGGCTGAGCTGGTATTCAAGATGCATGCTAAAGTCTTCCCTCTCCTCTCCTCAAGTAAAAAAAAAAATGGGCCTTTTTAAGAGACAGGAGCTGTGAAGCCTGGTGTTAGGTGAGGGGTGATGTCAGCACTCCCTTGTCTGCCCAAGCTTGTGTGCTAGTACGATAAAGCAGTCAATTCAGCAAGAAGAATAACAACTTCGAATACATATTCACCCAAAACTGAAGCACCAAGATATATAAAGCAAATAAATATTAGTGCTAAAGAGAGAGATAGGCTCCAATATAATAATAGCTGAAGACTTTAACATCCCACTTTTATTACTGTATAGATCTTCCAGAGAAAATCAAAACAAAAAATTCATACTTAACCTGCAA
The DNA here is from genome assembly GCF_000001405.40 of Homo sapiens. NCBI lineage: Eukaryota > Metazoa > Chordata > Mammalia > Primates > Hominidae > Homo > Homo sapiens. The sequence goes on from NC_000023.11 coordinate 86,998,260, forward strand.
TACAGACCAAATGGATCTAACTGATATTTATAGAATATTTCTTCCAAAAGCTGCAAGATATACATTTGTTTTACCACAATGATTATTCTCAAGGATAGACTATATGTTAGGTCACAAACAAGCTTTAAAACATTCAGAAAAATGAAATAATATCAAGTATTTTCTCTTACTATGATGGAATAAACTACACGTTAATAACAAAGGAATTTTAGAATCTATACAAGTAAATGAAAATTAAACAATATGCTCCTGAATGACCAGTGGATCAATGAAGAGATTAAGAAGAAAATTGAAAAATATCATGAATCAAATGATAATGGAAAAACAACATACTTTAATTAGTCTGTTCTTGTATAACTATAATGAAATACTTGACACTGTGTAATTTATATAAAAAAGAGGTTAAATTGGCTCATTGTTCTTCAGGATGTAGAGAAAGCATATTGGCTTTTGATTCTAGGGAGGCCTCAGAAAACTTACAGTCAATAAACTTACAATAGCAGAAGGCATACGGAAAGCAGGCACATCTAACATGGCTGGTGCAGAAGAAAGAGAGACCATGGGGAGGTACCACACACTTTTAAATGAACAAACCTTATGAATACTCTATTATGAGAATATCACAAAAGAGATTGTTCTCAGCTATTTATAAAATTACACGCCCATGGGACCCACCTTCATTATTGAAGAATACAATTGAACATGAGATTTGGGTGGGGAAACAAATCTAAACCACATCAATATGAAAACTTATGGGATACAGCAAAAGATGTGTGAAGAGGGAAGTTTGTATCTATAAATGCCTACATCAAAAAAGAAAAAAAAATCGAATAAACAATCTAATGATGCATATTAAAGAACTAGAAAAGCAAGAGCAAACCAAACTCAAAATTAGTAGTAGAAATAATAAAGATCTGAGTAGAAATAAATAAAATTGAAATAAAAAACAACACCAAAGAACAATGGAACTAAAATTGGTTTATTGCAAATTTCAACAAAAATGACAAACCTCTACCCAGACTAAATAAGAAAAAAAAAAAAAAGAAATGCAATTTAAAAAATCAGAAGTGTAAAGGAGACATTATAGCTGATACTGCAGAAATTCGAAGGATCATTAGTGGCTACTATGAGTAACTATATGCCTCCAAAATTGGAAAATCTACAAGCAATGGAAAAATTCCTATATATATTCAACCTACTAAGATTGAACCAGGAAGAAATCCAAAACCTGAACAGACCAATAATAAGTAACAAGATAGAAGCTGTAATAAAGACTCTCCCAGTGAAAAAAAGCCTGGGACCCGATGGCATCACTGTTGAATTCTACCAAACATTTAAAGAAGAATTAATACCAATCCTCCTCAAACTATGCCAAAAGATAGAGGAGGAGGGAATACTTTCAAACATATTTTATGAGGCTGGTATTACCCTGATACCAAAACCAGACAATGACACATCAATGAAAGAATACAGGCCAATATTTCCGATAAATATTGATGCAAAAATCCTCAACAAAATACTAGCAAACTGTACTCATTAATACATTAGAAACATCATTCATCATGACCAAGTGGGCTTTATCCCGGGGGTGCAAGTATGGTTCAACATACACAAATCTATCAACATAATACATCACATAAACAGAAGGTGATTGATGCTGAAAAAGGGTTTGATGCAATTAAAAGTCCCTCCTGGAAAACAAAACAAAACAAAACAAACTCATAAAACTAAGAAGAAAAGAAACATACCTCAACATAATTAAATCCATATATAATAGGCCTACAGCTAGTGTCATACTCAATGGGTATAAACAAAAAACTTTTCCTCTAAGATCTGGAACATGACAAAGATGTTCACTGTCACCATTGTTATTCAACATAATATTGGAAGTCCTAGCTAGAGCAGTCAGAAAAGAGATGGACATAAAAGGCATCGAAATTGGAAAGAAAGAAGTCCGACTATTCTTGTTTTCACAAAATATGATGTTATATTTATAAGAACCTAAAGGCTCCACATGAAATTTATTAGAACTCATAAACAAATTCAATAAAGTTGTAGAATACAAATTCAACTTACAAAAATAAGTAGCATTTATATATGACAACAGTGAGCAATGTGAGTTAGATATTCAAAAAGTAAACCTATTTACAGTAGCTACATAAAATTAAATACCTGGGAATTAACCAAAAAATAATTGATCTCTATAATAATAACTATAAAATACTGATGAAAGAAATTAAAGATTACACCAAAAAATAGAAAAAAAAATTCCATGTTCATGAATTGGAAGCATCAATAATGTTAAGATGTCCATTCTACCCAAAACGATCTATGGATTCAATGCAGTCCTTACCAAAATACCAATGACATTCTTCACTGAAATATAAAAACAAGTCTAAAATTTATATGGAATCCCAAAAGACCCAAAAAAAGCCAAAGCTATACTAAGCAAAAAGAACAAAACTGGAGGAATTAAATTACCTGACATCAAATTATACTGCATAGCTATTGTAACCAAAACAGCATGTTACTGGCATAAAAACAGACACATAGACCAATGAAACAGAACAGAGAACCCAGTGACAAATTCACATACCTACAGTGAACTTGTTTTTGACAAAGGTCCTATGAACATACACTGGGGAAAACACCATCACTTAAATAAATGGTGCTGGGAAAACTGGATATTCATGTGCAGAATAAAACTAGACCCCTAAATCTCGGCATATGCAAAAATCAAATCAACATGGATTAAAGACTGAAATCTTATGCCTTTAGCTATGAAACTAATACAAGGAAACATTGGGTAAAATCTCCAGAACATTGATCTGGGCAAAACTTCTTGAGCAATATCCCCACAAGCACAGGCAACCAAAGCAAAAATGGACAAACTGGGTCACAGCAAATTTAAAAGCTTCTGCACGGCAAAAGATATAATCAACAAAGTGAAGAGAAAGCCTACAAAATGGGAGAAATATTTGAAAACTACCCACCTGACAAGGGATTAATAACCAGAATATGCAAGAAGCTCACAAAACTCCCTGGTATACTGTTGGTGGGAATATGAATTAGAAATATCTACTATGGAGAACAGTTTGGAGGTTCCTCAAAATACTAAAAATAGAGCTACATATGATCCAACAAGCCCATTATTGGGTATATACACATAAGAAATTAAATCAGTATATCAAAGGCATATCTGTACTCTCACGTTTGTTGCAGAACTGTTCACAATAGTCAAGATTTGGAAGCAATCTGTGTCCATCAACAGATTAATGGATAAAGAAAATGTGGCACATACACACAATGGAGTACTATTTAGCCATACAAAAGAATGATATCCTGTTATTTGAAACAACATGGATGTAAGTGGAGATCATTAGGTAGAATAAGCCAGACACAGAGAGACAAACATTGCATGTTCATTTTTTCATACGGTATGAAATAAGAACATCATGGAGAATGAGTTATCCATTCTCTCAAGCATTTATCCTTTGAGTTACAAACAATCCAATTATACTCTTTAAGTTATTTTAAAATGTACAATTAAGTTATTACTGATGATTACTTACTTGTGGGATCTAAAAGTAAAAAAATTGAACACATGGAAAGTAGAAGAATAGTTACCAGATGCTGGGAAATGTAAGGGTGTTGGTGGAGGAAGGAGGGAAAGTTAATGGGTACAAAAATAGGAGAATGAATAAGACCTACTATTTGACAGCACAATAGTGTGACCACTGTCAATAATAACATAATTATACATTTCAAAATAACTTAAAGGTGTATAATTGGATTGCTTTTAACTCAAAAATTAAGTGGTTGAGGGACCGGATACCCCTTTCTCCACGATATGATTATGAATACATAGTACTTGATAGCAAAACAGGATCATTATAGTCAACATAATTTAATTATACATTTCAAAATAACTTTAAAAGTCTAATTTGATTGTTATACAAAGGATAAATGCTTGAGCAGATATATACCCCATTTTCCAGGATGTAATTATTACATATTGCATGCCTATATTAAAACATCTTATGTGCCCCATAAATATATACACCTACTATACACCTCCAAAAATTAAAAATAATAAAAAGATAAACAATTATAAAAGAATAGGGTTTACCAAAGGTAAAGAACATGTGAACTAAAAATATTGAATATGAAGTTAGTGAAACAATAAAAAATAAAGAGCCAGACTATTGAAGCAGAATTGATTAAAAGCGTATTTTTAGCTTTTAAAACTTTTCTCTGAATTTTATTCAAGTAAAGTATCTTACTGAATTGAAATAATCTCACTTGTAAACTAGTAATCATTAGGAAAATTTAATAGTAGAATAGAAATTTTTGAAAGATAATGCTACTCAGTGCAATGTTAATTACTTGACTTGCTTGTAGAAAGTCCTCAGTCAATATTTGACATTGTTACTGCTGGGAAGATGATAAAGACACTTTTTGCACCATTATTTAAGAAGAGTAAGGTTTAGATAATTCTGTCTTGCATTCTGATAATACTTCCAATACATGGCTGGCTATTGTAGTCTAGGTATCAGTCATGTAATATCGTGTAGAGAAGATGCTAAAACTATTGATCATCTTTGAAGCACCCTGTTATTTTCACGTGAGTCTTTCTGAATACAAAGGAATTACAAGCTCCTTTTATCCAGCAATGATATTGCAATCTACTTTTACTTAAGCCCACAAACAGATAGTGTGGAAGAATTGTCTTTATGACTAATTTTTGTCAAACTATATTTAAAACTATGTCAACAAATATGACATTTCATACTGCTCTGCAGGAAGCCTGTAAAATATGCTCATGATTTTAAACAGCAGGGAAGCATCCACTACAGGGATTAACTGGTAACATATGCCACTGCTGCTGAAATAATTTTTAATCCTGTTATACATTAATGTAGCATTTTTCTTCTGTTACAATAAGGCAGCCATCTGTGCCTTAACCTACTGGGAAACTGTGGATATACATATAAAAAGAGAAGGGAGAAAGAAAGGCAGATAGGCAGGAAATTTACATTTGTAAAGTTAGTATCTAAAGTCAAAATCTTTTAAACACATTATTTAAGGAGTTTGATAGATATCTAAATAGTTTTCAACTACTAAATTGAAGCAACTACTTAACTACTAAATTAAAGCAACTGCTTTTTAATTTTTACATAAATAACTGCTCTTTACTTGTACCAAAGAATTCTTCTTTACCCACCTATCTCTGAAAGGTGAAATGTATATAATTGAGCCTGGAAACATTTGTTATTGTTTTACAAAATATGCTTTGCAATTGGCACTGACTCCCAAATATTCATAGAAGATAGTGTGGATGATCCAAGAGCTGCTGTAATTCAAATGCAGTGTAACTGCATTTTAGATGCTTATTTTAAAAAGTGATGATTCAGAAGGCAGAAAGGGAGAAGGAGTAGCTAATTGTTAGCAGCTTTTGCCAGTTACAAATGAACACTTGAACCCTAGGATGCTGAAATGGTAGTGTTTGGATTTTCACTGACCTGCCTCCTCTAGATAAAGCATAAAGAAGCACTTCCTCATATCTCACATGAATATGTGTTACTTTAATGGAAGGCAATATTCTTTACTAAAAGAAATATGTTACAGGGTAAGAAAGTCACAAGACTTAGGTTCTAGGACTTCTCTATCATATAAATATATACAATACCTTTATTATCCTAAACTTATTTCTGCATTTACAAAGGAACACAATAGACTAAATTGTTGACTTTCAGCCTTTTTTCAGTAGTTGAATATTTTGAAAAAATCTCACATAGGAGCATATTATGTAAAACCATAAAGTGTAAGCTGTTTTTACAAAATGGAATGAGTGACCCACAAGATCCTTCAGCTTAGAGTGGAGGGAGAGTTAGATAGAAAATGCATGAATTTGATTTATAAAACTACACATTAGTGGAAAATGGTAGCAGTTTATTTATTTATTTTTTGTTGTTGGAAAATGTATCTAATCATGAATTAATGGAAAGTTACAATATCTGTTGCAATGAAAAACTATAATAAAAATTCCAAGGGGGAAAAATAATAAAACATAAATGGATCACGACCTGAAAATATATATAAAAAGAAATGATAAAGAAGCAATACAATATTAATAACAAAATATTGGCCGGGCATAGTGGCTCATGCCTGTAATCCGAGCACTTTTGAAGGCTGAGGCAGGAGGATCACAAGGTCATGAGATCAAGATTATCCTGGCCAGCATGGTGAAACCTCATCTGTAATAAAAATACAAAAATTAGACAGGCATGGTGGCAGGCACCTGTAATCCCAGCTACTCGGGAGACTGAGGCAGGAGAATGGCTTGAACCTGGGAGGTGGAGGTTGCAGTGAGCCGAGATCGTGCCACTGCACTCCAACCTGGTGACAGAGTGAGACTCCATCTCAACAACAACAACAACAGCAACAGCAACAACAACAAACAAAATATTAAAGGAGAACAAATTTAATACTCTGCAGAATAAAATAATGGACATCAAAACTCTAAAATCATTCATCTATAATGTCCATTTTATAATTTACCAAAAATTTTAATCCGCATGAATATGGGCCTTATAATTAACATAAATGAACAATAGAAGCAGACCTGAACATAAGCCAGATGTTGGAGTTATCACACAAAGACTTTAAAACAGGTATTATGCTTAGGGATTTCTAGGAAAATGTGAATGTAACAGAGTAGACATGGGAAATTTGAGGAAAGAAAAGAAACCTTAAAATGAAAACCTTAGAAATAAAAAATGCAACATCCGAAATAAAAAATATATATATTAGATAAACTTAAAGGAAGATTGGATGCCATATAATAAATAATCAGTGAACATAAAGAGTGACTAATGGAAACTAGTGTAGCTGAAGGACAGTTAAAAACAGACTTAGAAAGTATAACTGAAGCTAGATAACCTGTGGAATAAGGTTATCTAGATTCCAGTCATCAAGTGGTCTAAAATGCGTGTTACTGGAATCCCAGAAACAGAAAAGAGAACAATGGGGAAGAAAATGTTTGAGTAAATATTTGTGAAACATTTAAAAATATATTCAAAACTGAAAAGAACACCTATGCAGAACCAAAAGTGAAACTTGACATGCACTAGTGAAACTTCTGAAAATCAAATATAAGGAGGAAATCTTCAAATGTGCTAATGGAATGGTGGGTGTATTAGTCGTATTAGTCTGTTATCATGCTGCTATGAAGAAATACTTGAGACTGAATAATTTATAAAGAAAAGAGATTTAATTGACTCACAGTTCCATATGGCTGGGAAGGCCTCGGGAAACTTACAATCATGGCAGAAGGTGAAGGGGAAGCAAGGCACGTATTACATAGTGGCAGGAGAGAGAGAGAAGAGGAAATGCCACTCTTTTAAGCCATCAGATTTTGTGAGAACTCACTAGCATGAGAATAGCATGGGGAAAACTGTCTCCATGATTTAATTACCTCCTGCTGAATCCCTCCCACAGTGTGAGGATTATAGAAACTACAATTCAAGATGAGATTTGGGTGGGGACACAGTCAAACCATATCATTCCACCGCTGACCCCTCCCAAATCTCATGTCCTCACAATTCAAAGCACAATCCTGCCCTTCCAACAGTTCCCCAATCTTTGCTCATTCCAGCATTAACCCAAAAGTTCATGTCCAAAGTTTTATCTGAGACAAGGTGAGTCCCTTCTGCCTATGAGCCTGTAAAACTGAAAGCAAGTTGGCTACTTCCCAGATACAATGGGGTTACAGGCATTGGGTAAATACACCTGTTCCAAATGGGAGAAATTGGCCAAAATAAAGGGGCTATTGGCCCCATGCAAGTCCAAAGTACAATAGGGTAATCATTAAACCTTAAAGTTCCAAAGTGATCTTCCTTGACTCCATGTCTCACAACCAGGTCATGCTGATGCCATAGGTGGGCTTCCATAGCCTTGGGCAGCTCTGCCCTTGTGGCTTTGCAGGGTACAGTCCCCTCCCAGCTGCTTTTACAGGTGGTGTTGAGTGTCTGTGTCTTTTCCAGGCACACAGTGCAAGCTGTCGGTGGATCAATCATTCTGGGATCTGGAGAATGGCGGCCCTCTTCTCACAGCCCCACTAGGCAGTGCCCAAGTAGGGACTCTAAGTGGGGGTCCCAACCCCATGTTTCCCTTCCACACTGCCCTAGCAGAGGTTCTCCAAGCAGGCCCCACCTCTGAGGCAGACTTTTGCCTGAACATCCAGGCATTTCCATACATCCTCTGAAATCCAGGCAGAGGTTCCCAAACCTTAATTCTTGTCTTCTTCACACCTGAAGGCCTGTCATGAAGTAGAAGCTTCCAGGGCTTGGGGTTTATACCCTCTGAAGCAATGACCTGAGATGTATCTTGGCCACTTTTAGCCATGGCTGAAATGGCTGGGAGGCAGGGCACCAAGTCCCTAGGCTGCACACAGCAGGGGAGCCTTTGACCCAGCCCAGGAAACCAGTTTTCCTTTCTAGGTCTCTGGGCCTGTGATGGGAGGGGCAGTCATGAAGGTCTCTGACATGCCCTGGAGACATTTTCCCCATTGTCTTGGTGATTAACTTTAGTCTCCTGGTTACTTATGCAAATTTCTGCAGCAGGCTTGAATTTCTCCCCAGAAAATGAGTTTTTCTTTTCTCTGGCATAGTCAGGCTGCAAATTTTCCAAACTTTGATGCTCTGCTTCCTCTTGAATGCTTTGCCACTTAGAAATTTCTTCCAGCAGATATCCTAAATCATCTCTCTCAAGTGCAAAGTTCCACAGATCTCTGGAGCAGGGGCAAAATGCCACCAGTCTCTTTGCATAGCAAGAGTGACCTTTACTCCAGTTCCCAACAAATTCCTCATCTCCATCTGAGACCACTGCAGTCTGGACTTCATTGTTCATATCACTATCAGCATTTTGGTCAAAGCCTTTCAACAAGACTCTAGGAAGTTTCAAACTTTCTCACATCTTTCTGTCTTCTCCTGAAGACCTCTCTAGGAGTTTCCAAACTTTCTCACACTTTCCTGTCTTCTTCTGAGCCCTCCGAACTGTTCCAACCTCTGCCCATTACCAATTTCTAAGGTTGCTTCCACATTTTGGGTATCTTTGTAGAAGCACCCCATTCTCTGTGGTACCAATTTACTGTATTAATATGTTTTCACAGTGCTATGAAGAAATACCTGAGACTGGATAATATAAAGAGAAGAGATTTAATTGACTCATAGCTCCACATGGCTGGGGAGGCCTCAGGAAACTTACAATCATGGAAGAAGGGGAACCGAACACATTCTTCTTCCCATGGAGGCAGAAAAGAGAAGTGCTGAGCAAAGGAGAAAAAGCACCTTATAAAACCATCAGATCTCATGGGAACTCACTCACTATCATGAGAACAGCATGAGGGAAACTGCCCTCATTATTCAATTATCTCCCACCAGGTCACTCCCATAATACATGGGGGTTATGGAGATTACAATTCAAGTGAGATTTGGGTGGGGACACAGCCAAACATACCAGTGCGGATCATTTATATTGAAAGAAGCAATAAAATTCAAGGTGAGAATTGGGTGGGTACACAGCCAAACCATATCAGTGGGGATCATGTATATAAAAAGAAGTAATAATATAAATTAATATGACATTTAATAATTCTTACATAAATAATTCTTAATAATTTTAGTGGAAATAATGAAAGCCAAAAGTCAATGTAATGCCATATTTCAAATGCTAAA